>NC_000023.11:146596818-146899848 GCF_000001405.40 Homo sapiens | reverse complement strand
TCATGAGAACTCAGCATATCACTCACATCTTCAGGCTCCACTTCTAATTCTGGTTCTTTTGCTATTTTTTTTTTTTTTTTACTACATTTGCTGTTACTTCCTCTACTGAAGTCTTAAACCCCTCAGAGTCATCCATGTGGGTTGGAATCAACTTCTTCCAAACTCTCTTAATGTTGATATTTTGACCTCTTCCCATGAATCTTGAATGTTCTTAATGGCATCTAGAATGGCAAATACTTTCAAGGAGGCTTTCAATCAATTTTGCCCAGATCTGTCAGAGGAATCACTATCTATGGCAGCTATCACCTTCCAGAATGTCTTTCTTAAATAATAAAGCTTGAAATTCAAAGTTACTTCTTGATCCATGGGCTGCAGAATGGATATTGTGTTAACAGGTGTGAAAACAACATTAATCTCCTTACACGTCTTCATCTGAGCTCTTAGGTGACCAGGTGCATTTTCAGTAAACATGTACTATTTTGAAAGGAATCTGTTTTTTCTGAGCAGTAGGTGCCATCAGTGGGCTTAAAATATTCAGTAAACCATGCAGCAAACAGATGTGCTGACTTCCAAGTTTTGTTGTTCCATTTATAGGGAAAAGAAAAAGAGTAATTTAGCATAATTTTTAATAACACTAGGATTTTTGGAATAGTCAATAAGCATTGGCTTCAGTGTAAAGTCACCAGCTGCGTTAGCCCCTAACAAGAGAGTCAGCCTGTGCTTTGAAGCTTTGAAGCCAGGAATTAACTTCTTTCTAGCTATGAAAGTCCTAGATGGCATATTCTTCCAATATAAAGCTGTTTTGTCTACATTAAAAATCTATTTTTGAGAATAGCCACCTTCATCAATTATCTTAGCTAGATCTTCTGGAGAACTTGCTGCAGCTTCCACATCAGCACTTGTTTCTTCACCAAAGAGACGGCTTCCTTCCTTTAACCTCACGAACCAACCTCTATGAGCTTCCAACTCTTCTTCTACAGCTTCCTCACCTCTCTTGACCTTCACAGAATTGAAAAAAGTTAGAACTTTGCTCTGGATTAAGCTTTGGCTTAAGGGAATGTTGTGGATAGTTTTATCTTCTATAAAGAGCACTAAAACTTTCTCCATATCAGCAATATGGCTGTTTTGCTTTCTTATCATTCATGTGTTCACTGGAGTAGTACTTTTTGAATTTCTCCAAAAACTTTTCCTTTGCATTCACAGCCTGGCTGTTTGGCACAAGAGGTCTAGCTTGCTATCTATCTCAGTTTTCAACATGCCTCCTTCACTAAGCTTTATCATTTCTAGCTTTTGATTTAAAGTGATAGATACGCAGATCTTTATTTCACTTGAATACTTAGAGGCCATTGTAGGGTTATCAATTGTCCTAATTTTAAGATTGTTGTGTCCGAGAAAATAGGAAGGCCCAACAAGAGGGAGAGAGACAGGGGAATGGCTGGTCAGTGGAGTAGTCAGAACACAGTGTTTATAGATTAACTTTGCCATCTTACATAGGCGTGGTTTGTGGGGGCCCCAAGTAATGACAATAGTAAAACATCCAAGATAGCTGATCACAGATTACCATAACAGATATAAAAATAATAATAATAATATTTAGAATACTGTGAGAATTACCAAAATTCGACAGAGACGCAAAGTGAGCACATGATACTGGAAAAATGGTGGCAATAGACTTGCTGTGCGCAGGGTTGCCACAAACCTTCAATTTGTAAAAAACACAATACCTGAAAAGAGCAATAAAGTGAAACACATTACACCTCGGGGTAGGCTTGTATATATTTAAAGTGTACATTGTAATGTTTTGATTTACTTTGTGAAATCATTACCACAATCAAGCTAATTAACATATCCATGACCTCACATATTTGTAAGAGATTATTTTGATATTATAAACTTATCTGGAGGCCAGGCACAGTGGCTCATGCCTGTAATCCTAGCACTTTGGGAGGCCGAAGCAGGTGGATCACTTGAGGTCAGAAGTTCAAAACCAGCCTGGCCAACATGGTGAAACCCTGTCTCTACTAAAAATACAAAAATTTAGCAGGGTGTGGTAGTGCATGCCTGTAATCCCAGCTACTCGGGAGGCTGAGGCAGGAGAATCACTTGAACCTGGGAGGCGGAGGTTGCAGTGAACCAAGACCACACCACTGCACTCCAGGACGGGCAACAGAGTGATACTCTGTCTCAAAAAAAAACCAAAACAAAAACAAAAACAAAACAAAACTCATTTTGGGGCCGGGCATGGTGGCTGATGCCTGTAATCCCAGCACTTTAGGAGGCCGACGCAGGCTGATCACCTGAGGTCAGGAGTTCGAGACCAGCCTGGCCAACATGGTAAAACCCCATCTCTACCAAAAATGCAAAAATTATCCAGGTGTGGTGGCAGGGGCCTGAAATCCCAGCTACTTGGGAGGCGGACGCAGGAGAATCACTAGAACCCAGGAGACGGAGGTTGCAGTGAGCCGAGATCACACCATTGCACTCCAGCCTGGGCAACAAGAGCAAAACTCCATCTAAAAAAAAAAAAACAACTTATTTTGATAGTCTTTTAAATAAAATTTTAAAAATATAGAAGAAAATGCGTATATGTTACAATTTTGCTTTGTATTGACAAATTCAATAGATTTAAACATTTGATCTCATTTGAACTTGATACCATAATAAATATACTCATGATACATTTAAAAAAGAGTAAAATAGAGATAAATAGGTGAAGTATAAGAAATTTCTATGATGACGAAACAATTGCCTCCCATTGTGATGGTGGATACATGACATTATGTTTTTATCAAAACCCATAAAACTATATAACACAAAGAATGAACCCTAATCTAAAGTGTGAACTTTTGTTAGTAATAATGTATCAATTGTTATGATTAATTAATTGCAACAAATGTACCATACCAATGCATCATGTTAACAATAGGGGGAATTGTAGATTTCTGTAAATCTAAAACTGTTTTAAAAACATAAACTCTATTGATTAAAAGAGGAGTAAAATGTGCATTATATTTATAAAGCAGCATTCTTTCTCGTTTATAAAATAACTCTCTGCTCACTGTTTGTTTCAATTTGAAACTATATGGCCCTTTTGCTTTTTCCCTTGACTGGTATCAGGTTTTACTCTGTTACTCTCCAGTATATTCTCCCAAGTATATATACTTGTACTGTATATCTTAAACTATAAATCTATACATGACAGTGGGGAAGGAGCTGCTGTGCTCTTTGCCTTATGCCTTTTCCAACACAATGAAAATGCTCACGATTAGCACTGCTGTTTTGTTTTATTTTGTTTTACAGTGAATTGTCTGTTTATTTGTCAGAATCTACTTTTTCAGAACTCAGGAGAGCTGATGTATACCCTTCTGGTTGACTAGCCACAAAAAGTACTGTGCTAGTTTTACGGGTGGTGATAAATATGCTGGATGATGGATTCACTGAAGTTGAGCTGAGAGAGAACATGTTTGGCCGAGGCTTGGCACATGTATGAGAGTCCAGGCAATATTCAGAATGTGAGCATAACAAAGAGGTGATCAATATGGCTTGAAAGTCTCAGGAAGTGGCTTCATCCCCACACTTAAATAAGGAATAAAATGGTAAAGATAGTGACAAATTAAATGGGTACCTTGGACTAAGATTACCATTTTATTTCTTGGTGTCTATATACAAGCTATCTAAAGTTTAAAGGTTAACCTGTATTATGTCATAGTTTCTGTTTAGGTTTTTAGTATAACTTTGTGATTAAAGAGTTTTTTTCCTACAATTCCCTAAAAATACTTAGAAAGGGAAATGTTTCCAGAAAAATATTATAAAATTAATAACTTGGGTGAATTCCCATAAATAGCAAATATAGTAAGGGTACATACAATGGTATGCATTCTGTGATATAATGTCCAAGAACTGAGAAATGGAGAGAAAACTTCTGGATATTATTTATAAAAAGCAAAGAGGCACAGTAGTCTTCTCTTCCAACAAATAGGATGTTTAAAAGTATTTTACAGTAATATGCCTTCAATCATGGAACCAGGACAGTATTGGGTAGCAAGACCTCTGTTGCCCATTCCAGCTCTTCTATTCTTTGAGTTGAAAATGATACACAGATGTTTCTCTGTAATGGATTTGGAGCACCAGAAACAATTACAAATGTGATTATGGACAACTTATCATTGTTATAATTTTTAAAAAGTGAATATTTGTTAGGTAAATATGTGTGTCCCAACATCAATTCCTGAGAAAAATATAATTATTTACATCCCATCCCCAACAAATTATGTTTTTTTATATAATTAATGATAATAAAAGCCCAAGGTGTAGGGTTATCAGTGAGGATCTATGCTTAGGAGCAGTCATCTTCAGGTGATTGCCTTTAGATATCTGCTTAGAAGATCACATTCTAAATCATTACAGAATAAGGAAATTTCCCCTAAAGCCAAAATTAACCTTAAGAGGTTGGTGAACAATTTCCTTCAGAATAACTCAACCTCTTTATGTTTAAAGACAGAATGACTTAGAATATAGGTTTTGACTGGAGGTAGCACGTAGCATGATCAAGTTGAAATTAGAAGACATAGCTTTTGGCTTCAGCTCTGCTACTTCTAAGCTGTGTAACCTTTGAATAGATACTTATGGCCTTTAAAAATTCATTGAGTCTAACCCACTTGTTCTTCAGTAATAGAAAATGAAAATAATGGTGGTGATCTAACAACACATAATTAAGAGAAGGAAAAAGAAGTTTAAATCAATGAAGAGATTTAAATCATTTGGTAGTACCCAAATGATGTTGGGATCACTTTAATTGAGGTTATTCTAATTGCCAATTCTCTACTACTGCTTATAGCCAAGTCCCTGGAAAGAAGTGTCTATAAATCATGTCTCCATTGCATTACTTCCCATTTCTCCCCAACTCATTCTAGTTCCTTCTCTGTCCCCACCACTTCACCAATATTAATTTCTCTCAGCTTTACCAATGATTTTCTTGTTGGACAATCCAGAACATGCTTTTCAGATTTCATGCCCATTAATTTCTCAACAGTATTGGCCAAAGTTTTAACTCCCTCTCTTTTGAGGCTATTATTTCTCTTAGCTTCTGGTATTCTGGTTTTCCTCTTAGTTCTCTGGCTTCTCCTTCTAGGCACTTTCATAGGCTTATCCTCAAATAGTTTCTTAATGTTGTAGCCTGGAGCCTTGTTTTAAAACCAAGACTTCAATTACTCATCTATATGTTGAGGACTAACTAATTAACATCTTCAGTCCGAACCTCTTCTCTGACCTCCGCAGATGTGACAATTTTCTGAAAATCTCCATTTTGCTACCTGGAAAGCATATAAGAGTGCCTGCCCTTACATTTCCTTAATTGCCCTAATCACAATATCAGTATATGTTTGTGTTATTGCGGGTCAATATTCATCTTGTTCATTATACTGACACCACTTGAGATCAAGGAATGTCTCTGTTTTGTTCACCATCTTGCACATAGTAAATGCTTAGTAAATATCCAAATATCAGCTCATTGCATTTCAGGTATGCAGTTCTTTTCTGGTCCTCGAATACCTTTTCTCCCCTTCGGAAATTTTTACTTATCGTTGATTCTATATGGAATGTTTTTTATTTCTAAATTCACATGGGCAGCTTCTGCTCGTCATTCAGGCCACATTTCAAATGTCATTTCCTCAACAAGGCCCTTCATGATGATCTGATCTAAAGATGCTCCCTACTCTTACCAAAGTCATAGCACATTGCAACACTATTGTGCCTTCTGAACTGGGTTTACTGTTTATTTATCTCACCAGTAGAATATAAGCCTCCTAATAATAGGGAGCTGGTCTACATTGGTCACCAGTACAACCTTTGTACCTCACAAATAATAACTCAAGAAACTCAATAAGTGAATTTTGTAAAAATAATAAAAGGTTATTTAACCCAGTTATAAAAACATTCCATGAAAGAGAATGAGAGATTACGTGCTACTAGGAGACACAGAAATATTTTATGGAGGAGGAAATATTTGAATTTTATCTTCTAAGATAAATAGGACAACAAATTCAGAACATGGATATGCAAGTGTAGAATTTTCCGCTGTGGGAAAAGCTCAAGCTAAAGCCAAAACTGGAAGAATTGAGTCTTCTTCCATCATGCATGGCAAATAGGTCAGTATGGCTAGCAGAAAAATAAAGCTGAAAAGATACATTGAGATTATATTATATGAGGTTTTACATCAGAATATGTGCACTAGAAAGCATTTTTTAAAAGGAACAGATCAGCAGCATCATCAGATCTATGGTTTTGGAAGGTAAATCAAAGAGCAGTGTGAAAATGACAGCATAAAAAAGAGACCGGAAGTAGAAAAGCCAGTTAGGAGACTATAGCAATATGTCACAAGGGGAATAGAGTCTGAGTTTGAGAAGTGGCCTTAAAGAAAGACAAGAGGGGGAGATCAAAAGAAACCAGAAAGATTTGTTTGCTAACTGCATGTACATGTTGAGGGGAGGATGAAAAGTTTACATTCTGCTTCGATAGTGACATTATTCATGGTACTATGAAACTGAGTAGGCAAAAAAAAAAAAAAAAAAGAAATTCGGGTGTTGGAGAAGTGTATTCAGGTTTGAAGAATAGATTTTATGATCACTGGATAAATGAGTAAAAGGTACAGCTGGTAGTTGAGTGTTTCAGTCTAGAATTAAGAGGAATAGGCTGGGCTAGAGATTAATATTTGAGAATCATCAGTATATATATGGTACTTAAAACATGGCAACGGATGGAATTGCCCAGTGATGCTAAGAGAGAATATAGCTACTAATGGAATGTTGGTGGAAATCTGTGTTAAATAAACTAGAAAAGAAAGAGCTCTTTGAGATAATCTATCAACTATGAAAGAGAAAAAAGCAAAATTTAGCTGAAATATATATCATGTGTTTCAATAAAAAAACTCTTACTATTCTTAGAAAGATGACTATAAAAGGCAGTGTCATATGGTGCAGACAGCCTTAAGTGATGAAATTATCCCTATTGAAATGTGAAAAATTTTGAATTTTTAATGTTAGATATAAAGTTTGTTAATTCTGCCCAAAATACCATAGAATACTGAACATTTCCAGGGGACTTTCAATAACATATCACTGTTGATTTTTTTTATTGTTTTTACATTTTTTTTCTTTTTATCATTATTATATTTTTGGGGGGTAAGAGGGGACAGAGTCTCACTTTGTCACCCAGCCTGGAGTGCAGTGGCATGATCTCGGCTCACTGCATCCTCCACCTCCTGGGTTCAAGCAATTCTCATGCCTCAACCTCTCGAGTAATTGGAATTACAGGCATGCGCCACCACGCCCAGCCTATTTTTGTATTTTTAGTAGAGACGGGGTTTTGCCACGTTGGCCAGGTTGGTCTCGAACTCCTGGCCTCAGATGATCCACCTGCCTCGGCCTTCCAAAGTGCTGGGATTACAGGTGTGAGCCACCATGCCTAGCCTTTTTATTTTTATAATTTTTGTGGGTACATAGTAGGTGTATATACTTATAGGGTACATGAGAGAGGCTTTGATACAAGCATGCAATGTGAAATAAGCACATCATGAAGAATGGCGTATCCATTCCCTCAAGCATTTATATTGAGTTACAAACAATCCAATTACACACTTTAAGTTATTTTAAAATGTACAATTATTATTGACTATACTCACCCTATTATGCTATCGAATAGTAGGTCTTATTCATTCTTCTGCTTTTTTGTACCCATTAACCATCCCCACTTCTCCTCAAGTCTCTCCACTACCCTTCTCAGCCTCTGGTAATCATCCTGGAGTTCAATTGCCTTGATGTTTAGATTCCACCAATAAGTGAGAACATGCGACGTTTGTTTTTCTGTGCCTGGCTTATTTCACTTAACATAATGATCTCTAGTTCCAACCATGTCGTTGCAAATGGTTGGATTTCATTCTTTTTTATGGCTGAATCGTACTTCATCATATATATGTACTACATTTTCTTTATCCATCCGTTGATGGAAACTTAATGTTGCTTCCAAATCTTAGCTATTGTGACAGTACTGCAACAAACATGGGAAAGCAGGTATCTCTTCAATATACGCATTTTGTTTCTTTTGGGTATATAACTAGCAGTGGGATTGCTGGATCATAGAGCAGCTCCATTATTAGTTTTTAAGGAACTTCCAAACTGTTCACCACAGTGGTTGTACTAATGTACATTCCTACCAACAGTGTACAAAGATTCCTTTTCTCCACATCCTCACTATTTGTTATTGCCTGTCTTTTGGATATAAGCCATTTTAACTGGGGCGATATGATATCTCATTGTAGTTTTGATTTGCACTTCTCTGATGATCAATGATGTGATCACCTTTTCATATGCCTGTTTGCCATTTGTATGTCTTCTTTTGAGAGACGTCTATTCAAATATTTTGCCCAATTTTGATCAGATTATTAGATTTTTTTCCTACAGTTGTTTGCACTCCTTCTATATTCTGGTTTTTAATCCCTTGTCAGATGGGTAGATGGCAAATATTTTCTCCCATTCTATGGATTTTCTCTTCCCTTTGTTGACTGTATCCTTTGCTGTTGAGAAGCTTTTTAGCTTGATGTGATCCCATTTATCCATTTTTGTTTTAGTTGTCTGTGCTTGCGGGAAATTGCTCGAGAAATCTTTGCTCAGATCAATGTCTTGGATATTTTACCCAATGTTTTCTTGCAGTAGTTTTATAGTTTGAGCTCTTAGATTTAAGTATTTAATCCATTTTGATTTGGTTTTTGCAAACAGCTAGAGATAGTGGTGTTTCATTTATCTGCATATGAATATCCAGTTTTCCCAGCAACATTTATCAAAGAGACTGTCTATTTCCCAGTGTATGTTCTTGGCATCTTCATCAAAAATGAGTTTACTGTACTTGTGTAGATGTGTTCCTGGGTGCCGTATTCTGTTTCCTTGGTCTATATGTCTATTTTTTTATGGTTACTATAGCTCTGTTGTATAATGTGAAGTCAGGTAATGTAATTCCTTCATTTTTGTTCCTTTTGCTTAGGACAGCTTTGATTATTCTGGGTCTTTGGTGGTTTTGTATAAATTTTAGAATTTTTTTTTATTTCTGTGAAGAATGTCATTGGTATTTTGATAAGGATTGCATTGAATCTATAGATTGCTTTGGGTAGTATGGAGATTTAACAATATTTATTTTTCCAATTATTGAATGCGGAATTTTTTTTGGTGTCCTCTTTAATTTCTTTCATCAATGTTTTATAGTTTTCATTGTAGACATATTTCACTTCTTTGTTTAATTTCTAGGTATTTAATTTTATGTGTGGCTATTGTAAATGGGATTGTTTTTAAATATCTTTCTCACATTTTTCACTGTTGGCATATAGAAATGATACTGTTTTTGTGTGCTGATATTGTATCCTGCAACTTTACTGAATTTTATTAGTTCTAACAGTTTTCCTGGGAGTCTTTAGGTTTTTCCAAATATTAAACTCTATCATTTGCAAAGAAGGATAATTTGACTTCTTCCTTTCCAATTTGGATGCCCTTGAAGTCTTTCTCTTGTCTGATTGCTCTAAGTAGGACATCCAGTAGTATGTTGAATAACAATGATGACAGTGAGCATCCTAGTTGTGTTTCAGGTCTTAGAGGAAAGGCTTTCAGTTTTTCCCCATTCACTATGATACTAGCTGTGAGTTTGTCATATATGGCTTTTATTATGTTTAGGGATGTTCCTTCTATCTCCAGTTTTTGTAGGGTTCTTTTTTAATCATGAAGGGATGTTGAATTTCATCAAATGCTTCTTCGGCATCAATTGAAATAATCTTATGGTTTTTATCCTTCATTCTGTTGATATGATGTATTATATTGATTGATTTGCTTATGTTGAACCATCCCGGCATCCCAGGGACAAATTCCACTTCATCATGATGAATGATCTTCCTAATTGTTGAATTCCATTTGCTAGTCTTTTGTGGAGGGTTTTGCATCAATATTCATCAAAGTTATCGGCCTGTAGGTTTTTTTTTAATGTGTCTTTGCCTGATGCTGGTATCAGGGTGATACGGGACTCACAGAATAAGTTTGGAAGTATTCCTTCCTCCTCTATTTTTCAGAATAGTTTGACTAGAATTGGTAATTAGATCTTCTTTAAATGTTTGGTAGAATTTATCACCAAAGCCATCGAGTCCTGGGTTTTTCATTACTGGAAGATTTTTTGTGATGGCTTCAAACTCATTACTTGTTGTTGGTCTGTTCAGGTTTTGGATTTCTTCCTGGTTCAATCTTGGTAGGTTGCATATATTTAGGAATTGGTACACTTCTTCTAGATGTTCCAATTTATTGTCATATAGTTGTTCATAATTGCTACTAATGATCCTTTGAATTTCTGCAGCATCAGTTGTAATGTCTCCTTTTTCATATCTGATTTTATTTATTTGTATCTTGTCTCTTTTTTTCTTAGTTAATATTACTAAAGTTTGGTCAATTTTCTTTAACTTTTCAAAAAACAACATTTTGTTTCATTGATCTTTTGTATTTTTTTATTTTGGTTTCATTTATTTCTTTTGTGATTATTATTGTTTCTTTCCTTCTACTAATTGTGAGTTTGCTTTGCTTTTGCTTTTTTAGTTCTTTAAGATACATCATCAGAGTGCTCATTTGAGGTTTTCCTCTTTTTTGATATAGGCACTTATAGCTATAAACTTCACCCTTAGTACTGCTTTTACTGTATCTCATAGGTTTTGGCACGTGGTGTTTCCATTATCATTTGTTTCAAGAAATTTTTCTATTTTCTTCTTAGATTCTTAATGACCCACTGTTCATTCCAAATCATATTGTTGAATTACCATGTATTTGTATAGTTTCCAAAATTTTCTTGTTATTAATTTTCAGTTTTCTTCCATTGTGGTCAGAGGAGATGCTTGATATTATTAAAATTTTGTGGAATGCGTTAAGACTTGTTTTGTGACCTAACATTTCGTCTGTCCTTGAGAATAATCCGTGTGCTGAGGAGAAGAATGTGTATTCTGCAGCTCTTGGATAAAATGTTCTGTAAATATTTATTAGACCCACTTGGATCATAAATATATATGTGTGTATATATGTATATATGTGTGTATATGAGTATATATGTGTATATACGTATATATATGTGTATATATGTGTATATATGTATATACATATGTGTGTACATATATGTATATACATATGTGTGTATATATATGTGTGTATATATATATGTATACACACACACATCTATATATATAAATACCTGTGCAACAGGTCTGGTACTGATGAAGTCCTCAGCTTTTGTTTTTCTGGGAAAGTCTTTATTTCTCCGTCATATTTGAAGGATATTTTTGAGGGATATACTAGTCTAAGGTACAAGTATCTTTCCTTTAGCACCTTATATATACTTTCCTGGCCTGTGAGGTTTCTGCTGAAAGTCTGTTGCCAAACATATTGGAACTCCATTGTATGTTATTTGATTCTTTTATCTTGTTACTGTTAAAATCCTTTCTTTATCTTTCATCTTTTGAAGTTTGATTATTAAATACCTAAAGGTAGTCTTCTTTGGTTTAATTCTGCTTGGTGTTCTATAACTATCTTGTATTTGGATATTGATATCTTTTTCTAAGTTTGGGAAGTTCTCTGTTATTATCCATTTGAATAAGCTTTCTACCACTATATCTCTACCTCCTCTTTAAGGCCAATAACTCTTTACTTTGTCTCTCTGAGGCTATTTTCTAGATCCTATAGGAGTGCTTGCTTGTTTTTTATTTTTCTTTCTTTTGTCTCCTCTGACTGTGTATTTTCAAATAGACTGTCTTCATGCTCACTAATTCTTTCTTCTGCTGGGTTCATTCTATTAAGAGACTCTCATGCCTTCTTCAATATGCCAATTGTATTTTTCAGCTTCAGAATTTCTGCTTGACTTATTTTAATTATTTCAATCTCTTTGTTAAATTTATCTGATAGAATTCTAATTTCCTTTCTCTGTGTTATCTTGAACTTCTTTGAGTTTCCTCAACATAGCTATTTTGAATTGTCTTTCTGAAAGGTCACATATCTCTCTTTCTCCAAGATTGGTCCCTGATGCCTTATTTAGTTCATTTGATGAGGTCAAGTTTTCCTGGATGGTGTTAATGCTAGTAGATGTTCTTTGGTGTCCAGGTATTGAAGAGTTAGGTACTTATTGTAGTCTTTACTTTCTGGGCTTATTTGCAGCCATTCTACTTGGGAAGCCTTTCCAGATATTTAAAAGGACTTGGGTCTTGTGATCTAAGCTGTATCTGCTTTTGGGGCACCCCAAGCCCAGTAATGCTGTGGATCTTGCAGTCTCATAGAAGTACCACTTTGATGGTCTTAGACAAGATCCGCGAGAATCCTCTGGATTACCAGGCATAGACTCTTGTTCTCTTTTCTTATTTTGTCCAAAACTTACAGAGTTTCTCTCACTCCTCTAAGCCTCTTAAAACTGGGTATGCAGTGACAGAAACACCCCTGTGGCCACCACCACTATGACTGCTCTGGGTCATACCTGAATCCATCACAGTGCTGGCTCTTGCCCAAGGCCTGCTGTAACCACTCCCTGGCTACTGTTTATGTTTGTTCAATGCCCTTGGGCTCTGCAATCAGCAGGTGGCAGTGCCAGCTATTCCTGTGTCCTTTGCCTCAGGGTGGCAAGGTTTCCCAGTCCTCTAGTTGGTCCAAAAGTGTTGTCTAAGAGTCAGGGACTGCAATCAAAAACCTTAGAAGTCTATGTAGTGTTCTATTGTGTTGCAGCTGAGCTGGCACTCAAACCACAAGATGCAGTCCTTCCCACTCTTCTCTCCCTTCTCCCAAGGTAGAGGAGCCTCACACCGTAGCCACCACCACTGCAGCCCAGGAGCTGTATTGCCAGAGAACCACCAATGTTTCCTTAAAGCCCAAGGTCTCTTAAGTCAGCTTGTGGTGAATGCTGCCTGGCCTGAGACTCACCCTTCAGCGCAGTGGGCTCCCTGCTGGCCCAGGGTAGGTCCAGAAATACTGTTTAAGTGTCAACTTGTAAATACAGGGACCTCAACAGCCCATTTGTGGCCTTGCTGGTACCTAAGGTGCAAGATAAAGTCCCCTTTACTTTTCTCTCTGCTTTTCTCAAGCACAAAGAGTTTCACCCCATAGTCACCCCAGCTGGTAATGTGTTGAGTCTCACTTGAAGCCAGCAAGTCTCAGAGGCTCTCCCAAACCCCTCGACGCAGTACCTGGGTATTGTTGCTGGTTATTCAGCGCCCAAGGGCTCTTTAGTTAGCAGGTGATTTATGCTGGAAGGACTGGGTCCTTTCCTTCAAGAGAGAAGTTTCTTTTCTTGCCCAGAATGTGTCTAGAAATGTCTTCTGGACACCAAGGGCTGGAACTTTTTTTTTTTTTTTTTTTTGTCTTTCAGGCCTCATGACTCTGACCGGTGCCCTATCTTGCTGTGACTGAGCTGGTATCTAAGATACAAGACCAAATCCTCCCCACTCTTTCCTCTCCTGTCCTCAAGTAGAAGGATGGGGTCGCTTTCAGAAGTGTGAGCTGTGCCGTGTGGGATTTGGGGAGGGTTGATGCCGGCACTCCTTTTGCTGCCCCAGCTGGTGTCTCAGTATGTCGTGTGCCCATCCAGTCCACTGTCTCTTGGCCTAGTTCAACACTAGACCTCACCTAAGAGTTGCAGTCCTTATGGCCTAGACTGCCTTTCAAGTTTACTTGGAGACACAGAGTGTTGTAGCCCTTGGTGGTGAGGTTTGCAGGCGCTCAATTTCCGACTGGCGTTTCCAACCAGTGGGATTGGTGATTCCCCTCTGGCTGGGGCTGGCTTAAATGTTCCCTCCGCTGGTGAGTGTCAGCTGAATTTGGTCCAGTTTTTCTTTGTGCTTTAACAGGACAGCACTGAGTTAAATGCTTGACAATTGCTGTGTTCTCCCTCCCCCAATGTCCAGGGATGGTCTCAGCACCACACTGCTGCTGCTGGGGGTCGGGGAGGGGTGGCCTCATTGGTTCAGGACTGTTTTTTCTGTCACTTACGTGCCTCTTTCAGCAATATGAAGTTAAAACCAGGTACTATGAGTGCTCATGTAATTTTTGATTCTTATGAAGATGTTTTTTTTTTTCCTTGTAGACGGTTGGTACCTTGGTGTCCTTGTGGGGAAAATAATTTGTGGAGCTTTTTATTTTGCCACCTTGCTTCTCCCTCTCATCTGATTTGTGTTCTAATCCCCATTTAATATAGCCTTTCAAATGACAACTAGTAATCTCACTAACACATAGAATTTTAGGACACTTCCTAATAATGTGTAATAGATTAAATAAAATGATCAATACAGTGATTTTGGAATATTTATGGTGAGAAATTTTTTGCCTATATGCATTTTGCATCTGTCCTCAAGTCCTAAAAGTGAGTGTGTATGTGTGTGTGTGTGTGTGTGTGTGTTCCCCTTAACTTAAACTTAGGAAAAATCAAGGATGCTCAATACAATTTTTTAAAGGCTGACACTGCAGATAAATTGCCTATTTGTGCTATAGTGATATTTAATCCTAGGGGAGCAGAGGACACAGATTCAGATGCATTATGTTGTGATGATATCTTTGGTTGTGAATTCTTCCATTTGGAATTCATAATTACAATGTCCCCATACTTGAGGTTATTCTCAGCATTCAACCCTCTGATAAATCTGTCTACACAAAACGGCAGCTGGTCCACTGGCAAATGAACTGCTTCTGGTGACATAATTTCATCATGTTTTTAGAGTCTCTGAAAGAGAGCAGCTGCCCAGAGCTTCAGAAGCATTGTGCATGGGGAACTTTGCTCAAATTTTCTTTAGGGACAAGAAGGCTGTGTGGGGTGACAATCTATGAGCACTGTCAGGTTAATAACCATCTCATGAAAACAATGTTTCTTTGCTAGTCTCAGTCCCAATGCTTAGGAGAATTTCAAGCATTGTTAGTGAGACATGACTGTATAATGAGGTAATGAGAAAAGATCAAGAAAGAAGAGTAAGATTTGACCAAAGTATTTTTAAAATTTTAATCTCCAAATGAGAGTAGAGTAGAAAAGAGAAAATACTACAAAACAGATCTTCAGAATACCCAGGTAGTTTGAAGGCACAAGCTAGTACTCTAATGGAATTAATTCCCTTTGCACACTTCAGGTTAGGTTTTATGAAAATCTCTTTTTTTTTTTTTTTCCCACAGTGGGGAAACAGTTTGCATCTGACCTTGTAGTAGAGAAAGACCCTGCTGATTTTAGGACAGCAATAATTGAATGTGAACCATAAAATTATTACTCTAACACATGCTATTTTGAACATCTTGTAAATGACTCAGGGCACTATTTGACGCAAATGTATAACTTGCTTTCAAAATCTCCCGACAAATCCTGCCTTATCGGAAGTAGTTAAACAAGGAATGGATGCATACATTTCTTTATGGAATAGAAACAATTTTGTACTGACCTCACCCTAAATCACCACAGCCCATAACTGCAGAAAATCAAAGGGACTGAGAAAAATATAAAGCAGCAGCCTGAGGGTGATGTTTTGTGATGATGAAGTAGTTCTGCAGTATGAGTGTAATAGTGTTTACACAAACCTACACGTGATAAAATGGCATAGGACTATACACAAACATTGTACCACTGTCAACTTCCTGGAATTGCTATTATACTATAGTTTTCATGAGGAAAGTTGGATGACTGGTCCACAGAACATCTCTGTACTATCTTAGGAACTTTCTGTGAATCCATAACTATTTTAAAATAAAAAGTTAAAATAAATGTGTAAAAAATAAGTGGAAGAAAAAATAGTGAGAACTCTTTCTATCACATTTTCCATTGCCAGCTCCTTCTCTTCTATCAGGTCTCAAATTACCACCCCCATAGAAAGCACTTGGTAAATGTGTTTACCTAAAGTAGCTTCCCTACATCCTACCAGTACTTTTCTTCATCAAAATCCCTGTAAAGGGATTTTGATGAACTTCTTTACAGTACTCAGCACTCTTGCAATTATACATTTATTGGTTTTATTTGATAAATGTCTATTCATTTTTCATTTAACAAATACATAGAGAGAATCTATTATGTATCAAACCCTATTCTAGATAGAGTATATGAAGCAGGAACCAAACCAAAAGGAATCCCTGGCAGAAAGAAAAGTTCCCATGTCTCACAAAGCTCATATTCTAGTAGGGAGGGATGAAAATAAACAGGCAAATATATTAAAAAAAACTATAAAAATTTAAATAGCAATGTGTTTTTCAGATAAATAGAACAGGTAATATGATAGAGTATAGTCATCTGGCTATTTAACATTGAGTTATTAAACTATGCCACTTTCCAGATCTCAATTATTGAGAAGTCAGCTATGGAATGATGTGCATAGAGGAGAGTGAAGGTGAGGGAAGTACATTCCAGGCATAGGGAAAAATACAACTTTCTTAGATTAGAATAGACCCTGGTGTTCTCAATGATTAACAAGGAAATCAGTGTGTACGGAATAGTGTAAGTGAGAATGTATCCTAGGAGATCGGGTCAGAGAGAAAATAAGACAGATCATAGTAGGGCTTTGAAGGGCAGGATAAGAGGTATATGTGGAGAGTCATTGGAGAGCTTTCCGTTGTAAACCAAAAATAAAATTCTAAGGGCCTCCAGGCCGGGCGCGGTGGCTCACGCCTGTAATCCCAGCACTTTGGGAGGCCGAGGCGGGCGGATCACGAGGTCAGGAGATCGAGACCATCCCGGCTAAAACGGTGAAACCCCGTCTCTACTAAAAATACAAAAAATTAGCCGGGCGTGGTGGCGGGCGCCTGTAGTCCCAGCTACTTGGGAGGCTGAGGCAGGAGAATGGCGTGAACCCGGGAGGCGGAGCTTGCAGTGAGCCGAGATCCCGCCACTGCACTCCAGCCTGGGCGACAGAGCGAGACTCCGTCTCAAAAAAAAAAAAAAAATAAAATAAAATAAAATAAAATTCTAAGGGCCTCCAACCATCTGGATGGACTTCCTCCTTAGCCAGGGCTGTTTTAAAATTTAACCTGAGAGAACGTTTCAGGCCATGATAGGGAGTGGGGGTCAAACATGCCTCATTATACCTCTCTGGCAGACACTAACATCAACACAGACTTTAAGTCTGGTAGGAAATATTTTATAATCTATTCTCTCTGAAGCCTGCTAGCTAAAAGCTTCATCTGCATGATAACACTTTTGATCTCCACAACTTCTTATCTTAACCCAGACATTCCTTTCTGTTGATCCTAGGTCTTCAGACAAACTCAACCAATTGAAGCCCATCTCCTGATTCACCTGTGGCTTTAAGTTGTTCTGCCTTTCTGGACCAAACCAATGTATTTTTTTTTCTTTTTTCTTTTTCTTTTTTCTTTTGAGACTGAGTCTTGCTCTGTCGCCAGGCTGGAGTGCAGTGGTGCCATCTCAGCTCACTGCAACCTCTGCCTCCTGGGTTCAAGTGATCTTCCTGCCTTGATCTCCCAAGTAGCTGAGACTATAGGGGCACGCCACCACACCCAGCTTATTTTTTGTAGTTTTAGTAGAGATGGGGTTTCACCATGTTGGCCAGGATGGTCTCCATCTCTTGACCTTTTGATCCACCTGCCTTGGCCTCCCAAAGAAACCAATGTATTTCTTAACTGTGTTTGATTGATGTCTTATGCCTCCCTAAAATGTATAAAACCAAGCTGCACCCTGACCACCTTGGACACATGTTCTCTGGACCTCCTGAGGGCTGTGTCATGGGTCAAGGTCACTCATATTTGGCTCAGAATAAATCTCTTCAAATGTTTTACAGAGTTTGATTGTTTTGGTCAACAGAACTTTGAAAATTGTCTGGTTTTGCTCACCACGGACACAAACCTAGAAACTTATGCTCATAACATGATGCCTGACATATGATAAACAGTATTTTTGAATAAATATTAATTTAATTAATGTATTATGCCTCTTGAGAAATGCAGAATTTTATCCTTTTTAGCTAACAGTTTCTTTTACACCTTCTACAAGCCTTCTTTTGTATTCTAAAAGTGAAAGTACAAATTCCATGGCTTCTTCCTCAACAGCTGTGGTGGCCACAGAGAACTTTCTTCACTTGGTGGCTGATGTGGCTTGGCTGTGTTCCCATCCAACTCTCATCTTAAATTGTAGCTCCTACAATTCCCACGTGTCATGGGAGGGACCAAGTAGGAGGTAACTGAATCATGGAGGCAGGTCTTCCCCCATACTGTTCTCATGGTAGTGAATAAATCCCACGAGATCTAATGGTTTTATAAGGGGTTTACCCCTTGGCCCTTATTCTCTCTCCTGTCTGCTCCCATGTAAGACATGACTTTCACCTTCCACCATGATTGTGAGGCCTCCCCATCCACATGGAACTGAGAGTCCATTAAACCTCTTCTTCTTTATAAATTACCCAGTCTCAGGTATGTCTATATCAGCAGTGTGAAAATGGGCTAATACAGTGGCCATAAGCAGACTTTAGATGTGTGAAAAATCAATTCCAGGTGGCTCCAGAGGAAACACTTTGGATGGTTTTACTTCAACAAGCCCTTTCAAAATGAAGACCTTGAAAACTGATCAACCTGGAAATGCTATACTCAGCTCTTCTGTTACTGGTGGAGGGTGTCCAGGTTCTTGGCATCTTGAACAAAGAATCGGAGAAAACACACAAACAAATCATGGAAAGCATGAAGCAACAGAAGCAGAGATTTACTGAAAACGAAAGTACACTCCACTGGGTGGGAATGGGCCTGAGCATAGGGGCTCAAGAGCCTGGTTACAGAATTTTTTGGGGTTTAAATACGCTCTAGAAGTTTCCCGTTGGTTACCTGATGTACACCCTGTGTAAATGAGGTAGCGGCCCACGATCAGTCTCATTGGTTGCAGAAAGTGACCAACCAGAGGCTGAAGTGAAGTTACAAAGTTATACTCCTATGCAAATAAAGACTTGGCCCATGGCCAGCCTGATTGAGTTATGGGAGGGGACCAACCATAAGTACTTTCAGTTTTTCATCCACCACGCAGAAAATAGGGGGCAGGGGTTGCAAAGGGAGTAGCCTCTGGCCCTTTTGTTACTTGGGTGTGGAGAGTTGGGGTTTTCCTTTAGATTTAGTTCTAAGAAGTCAGTGTGAATCGGCCTTACGTTCCCTGCCTCCAGACCCTATTATCCTGCCTTGTTTCTACTCTCCATGTATAGCACATACTCTGTAAATTCTACAGCCATCAGCTCCTTCATGGCTTGTTTACTGAGCTCCTATGATGTTCCAGAAAACTCCTTAGGAACTAGGAATACAGTGAATAATTATACTAATAACATACTGTTCTGATGGAGTTCGTGTTTTTCTAGGGAATGGACAGGCAACATAAAAGCAAAGTAAAATTAAAATAAACTCAGGGAAACCAAAAATAGATTTCAGATTAGAAGACTATTTTAATGAAGTAGAGGTTTGCACTTCAGAGACATCCTCTGAGCCACTGACATTGAAGCTGAGAATACCTGGGGTAAGGACTCTAGTTCCCCCAACTATTAAGTGTTCTTGTTAAAATGAAAGAGTAGATACAATCAAAGCACAAGCCATGGTTATGTTTTAAGTTCCCATCAAGGTCTCCTTTAAATGTTTGAAACAAGTATTGAGATAACACTTGATTATCAAGATTGCCTGACGATTTCTGCTGTTGATGTGTAGAAAGATTAGAAGCTTGACTGAATCCTTTTGGTCAGGCCCCTGAAGCAATTTGCTGCAGGGCACCCTTCATCATCTGCTGCACCCTTTTAGTGTGACCATTTGCTTGAGGGGATTAAAATTCAATGATGACAACTTGAATGGGGCTCTTGTTTAAAAATCTCTTAAACATTACTGAGGAGAATGCATAAGAAACCCTGAAAGAAGTGGCATTGTTGAATAATACATAGCTCAAGAAAACCAAAAAGAAAATTCTGGTATAAACATATGTAATTTTTGAATCCTTTTGTTTCTACTGATTTTTAGATTTTTACTTATTTTTTAAACGTCAAGGGTTTAATTGCATTGGAAGAATCAGTTTCAGCCATCATCATATAAGGCCTACATGGTCCCAAAACAGGGAGATTTCTGGAAGAAGCAGTGTGGCTTGTTAGAAAAAACATGGCAGTGTGACAGACCTGAGTTATAGCTTAGTAACTTCTGTCTTATGTGACTTTGGTAACTTTATGAACCTTTTTGAGCTTCTACTTCCTCATCTGAAGATGGTGGTGATTATGTATACACCATGGAGTTATCACAAGAATTAAAAGTAATGTCTATAAAAGACCACTTGTAGTCGTCCCTTGATATCCCCAGGGGATTGGTTCCAGGACCCCCTCGGATACCAAGATCTGTGGATGCTCAAGTCCCTGATATAAAATGGCATAGTATTTGTATATCACCTATGCACATGCTGCCTAGATTACTGATACCTAATACAATGTAAAGTCTATATAAACAGTTGGTATAATGTATTTTACATTTTCTATCTTTATTGTTGTATTGCTACTTTTTATTGTTTATTTCAAAATATTTTCCATGTGTGACAGTTTGAATCTGCAGATGTGGAACATACAACTATGGAGGGCCAACTGTAATATACTTGTCTCATAAAAGTCACCCTACGAAAATAGCCTTTGTAAATAATATTATTAAAATCAATGCTGATTTTTGTCTAAGAATTCTTAATCACTTTCCATGTATGACCTTTGAAATGTGGCAATTGTTTAAGAATCTGCAAAAGTATCACAGATGGTCACACTCTAATAAGCTACAGTGAGGGTATATTTGCAAACATTGGAACATAGAATTGAGAGAATTGACTGTAGGGCCTAAATATTTGTTCTTCATAAAGGAATTTATTATTTTCTCCTAAATCTCACTATCATGAGGTTGTAAAACCAGTCCAATTGGAATTACTCACTGGATTTGTTTATTGTTTTCTTTTAATTAATTATTTTTTTAGAGACAACATGTCGCTTTGTTACCCAGGCTGGAGTTCAGTGACAAATCCTAAATTACTGCAGCCTTGCACTCCCGGGCTGAAGCAATCCTCCTGTCTCAGCCTCCCAAGAAGTTGGGACTAGTTACAATGCCCAGCTATTTTTTTTTTCTTCCTGTAGAGAAAGGGGCTGTCTATGTTGCCCAGGCTAGTCTCAAACTCCTGGCCTAAAGCAATCCTCCTCCCTAGACCTCCCAAAGCTTTAGGATTACAGGCATGTGCCACTGTGCCTGGCTACATCTCCTTATTTCTTAGATACTGTGCTTAATTATATCTTCATGTTATTGTTCATTTGCATTAATTTAACGTAAAAATACGCAGAGTAAAAAGACATTATTGCCTTGAAGATAATTTATGCAACCAACTCGCGATTGGGCCGGAAAAAATAACATGAGCTTCCTCCTTCTGAGAGCCTAGGTTTTGGAAAAACATTTTGAAGAATTCGCTGTCACTCCTCTGAGGATATAGTACAGAATTGTTTTAAAAGTTCTAGTCATGGAGTTCTAACTATGAGAATTTTGCAGAGGAAATTATGGACTATATCATCAAAATAAAGTTTTAGTAAATAATTATATAGCTACATTTTATTGGCCCTTTACTATGTACCAGGTTTATGGTAAATGCTCAATTTTATTTATAATCTCATTTAATCATCATAACAATGCTTTGAAATGTATACTATTATATTTATCTTATGAAGGAGAAAAATGAGTATCAAATATTGAAGTTGACTTTGCTAAAAGTCACAGCTAGTGTGTACCTTATCAGAAATATAACAAATATTTGTCCACTCCCAGATTAGATCTCAGGGCAATGGTTAAGCACCAGGCTTTTAGTGGTTTGATTTGATTCATATCAGTTCTTCAGATTCTTTGAAAGACTGTGAAAGACATTGAAGGGTTCATCTCTCGAAGAAACAAGTTAGATAAGGTCATGTAATTGGTAGATTATGGAGTCTGGGACCTAGAAAAATGCCAAGTGAAAAACACCTCTGCATGGCAACTGAACAGGTTGTGAGCATAGTACCTGTTAGGTAGTTTTTCAGCCCTTGCTCTTCTCTCTGTCTCCCCACTTCAGTAGTCCCTAGAGTCTATTATTCCCATCTTTATGTTCATGAGTACTCAATGTTTAGCTCCCATGGATAAGTGAAAACTCCCAATATTTGGCTTTCTGTTCCTACATTAATTTGCTTAGGGTAATGGACTCTGACTGCATCCATGTAGCAGCAAAGGCCATCATCTCATTTTGTATAGCTGCGTAGTATTCCATGGCTATATGTACCACATTGTCTTCGTCCAGTCCACCCTTGATGGGCTTCTAAGTTAATTCCATGTCTTTGCTATTGTGAATAGTGCTGCAATCAACATATGTGTGCATGAGTCTTTATGGTAGAACAATTTATATTCCTTTGGATATATACCCAGTAACAGGATTGCTGGCTGGAATGATAGTTCTAAGTTCTTTGAGAAATCTACAAACTGCTTTCCACAGTGGCTGAGGTAATCTACATTTCTACCCATAGTATGTAAGCATTTGGTTTCTTAATAAATAAAAACTAAGGCACTTCTTTCCCCCAACCATGGAAGAGAAGGGCCCATGTTCGTTTATACAGGAGTGAGTTCACTACATCTATACTCATATCTCCAGTAACACGTTTGCAGGAAAGTTACGATTCTTTATGTGTCAAATCCTTTAAAGAAGATTGTGGTGAATATTTTCAAGATAAAAACGTATGGATGCTAATTCTCTGAATAAAGCAAAGGTAAATGGTCTGAATATTGTGAGGAGATGGTGATTTTCCTAGAAAGATTGGGTGGAACTAGAGATTGGGGTTTATAAGAATGCTAGGGAACTTAGGTTTAACTCCAGCACAGCATCCTAAGTGGTGAGGGAACCTCTGAATAAGTGGTATAACCATATATGCATATGGAGTGGGAGGGATAGTGTATTAGTCTGTTCTCACACTGCTAATAAATACATACCTGAGCCTGGGTAATTTATAAAAAAAAGAGGTTTAATGGACACATAGTTCCACTGGCTCAAGAGGCCTCACAATCATGGTGGAAGGCAAAGCAGAAGCAAAGGCATGTCTTACATGGTGGCAGGCAAGACAGCATGTACGGGGAACTCCCCCTTATAAAACCATTAGATCTCATAGGATGTATTCACTGTCAGGAGAAAAGCACAGGAAAAACCTGCCCCCAAGATTCAATTACCTGCTACCAGGTCCTTCCCATGACATGTGGGGATTTGGGAGCTACAATTACAGATACAATTTGGGTGGAAACACAGAGCCAAACCATATCATTCCAGCCCTGGCCTCCTCCCAAATCTCATGGCCTCACATTTCAAAACCAATTATGCCTTCCCAACAGTCCACCAAAGTCTTAACTCAAAACTCCACAGTCCAAAGTCTCATCTGAGAAAAGGCAAGTTCCTTTTACAGGCATATGAGCCTGTAAAATCAAAAGCAAGTTAGTTACTGCCTAGATACAATGGGGGTACAGGCAATGGGTAAATACACCCATTCCAAATGGAAAAAAATGGCCAAAATGAAGGGGCTACTGGCTTCATGCCAGCCCAAAATCCAGCAGGGCAGTCAAATCTTAAAGCTCCAAAATAATCTCCTTTGACTTCATGTCTTACATCCAGGTCACGCTGATGCAAGAGCTGGGTTCCCATGGTCTTGGGCAGCTCCACCCCTGCGGCTTTGCAGGGTACAGCCCCACTCCCAGCTGCTTTCATGGGCTTGCATTGAGTGTCTGCAGCTTTTCCAGGCACATGGTGCAAGCTGCAGGTGGATCTACCATTCTATGGTCTGAAGGATGGTGGCCCTTTTCTCACAGCTCCACTAGGCAGTGCCCTAGTGGGAACTCTGTGTGAGGGCTCCCACCCCACATTTCCACTCTGCACTACCCTAGCAGAGGTTCTCCATGAGGGCTCTGCCCCTGCATCACACCTCTGCCTGGACATCCAGGCATTTCCATATATTCTATGAAATCTAGGCAGAGGTTCCCAAACATCAATACTTGATTTCTGTGCACCCACAGGCTCAACACTACATGAAAGCTGCCAATACCTTGGGCTTGCATCCTCAGAAGGCACAGCCCAAGCTGTACCTTGGCCCCTTTTAGCCATGGCTTGAGCCTGGAGTGGTGGTGATGCAGGGCATCAAGTCCAGAGTCTGCACACAGCAGGGGGTCCCTGGACCCAGCCCAGGAAACAATTTTTCTCTCCTAGGCCTCCAGGCCTCTGAGGGGAAGGGTTGATGCAAAGGTATCTGACATGCCCTGGAGATATTTTTCTCATTGTCTTGGTGATTAGCATCTGGTGCCTGGTTACTTATGCAAATTTCTGCTGCCAGCATGAATTTCTCCCTAGAAAATGGGTTTTTCTTTTGTATCACATCCTCAGATTGCAAATCTTTCAAACTTTTATGCTCTGCTTCCTCTTGAACACTTTGCTCCTTAGAAATTTCTTCCACCAGATGCCCTAAATCATCTCTCTCAAGTTCAAAGTCCCACAGATCTCTAGGGCAGGGAGGGGTAAAATACCACCAGTCTCTTTGCTAAGGCATAACAAGAATCACCTTTGTCCCAGTTCCCAAGAAGTTCCTCATCTCCATCTGAGACCACCTCAGCCTGGATTTTATTGTCCATATCACTATCAGCATTTTGCTCAAAGCCATTCAACAAGTCTCTAGGAAGTTCCCAACTTTCCCACATCTTTCTGTCTTCTGAGCCCTTCAAGTCTCTAAGAAGTTTCAAACTTTCCCACATATTCCTGTATTGTTCTGATCCCCCCAGACTGTTCCAACTTCTGTCTGTTACCCAGTTCCAAAGTTGCTTCCACATTTTTGGATATCTTTACAGCAGTGCCCCACTACCTGGTACCAATTTACTGTATTAATCTGTTCTCATGCTGCTAATAATCACATACCCAAGACTGGGTTATTTATAAAGGGAAGAAGTTTAATGGAATCACAGTTTCACATCGCTGAGGAGGCCTCACAATCATGGCGGAAGGCAAAAGAGAAGCAAAGGCACTTCTTACATGGTGGCAGGCAAGAGAGTGTGAGCAAGGGAACTGCCCTTTATAAAAGCATCAGATCTCGTGAGACTTATTCACTATCAGGAGAACAGCATGGGAAAGACCTGACCCCATATTTCAATTACCTCCCATCAGGTCCCTCCTAGGACATGTGGGGATTATGGAAGCTACAATTCAAGATGAGATTTGGGTGGGGACACAGCCAAACTATATCAAGTAGCAGGTGGTCAAGAATTAATACCAAGTCCCATATCCTTGGGAGCTAAAGAGAAGATCCCTGTTCACATGCTTGGCACAAAAACATTGGTAATTTCCATGTTAAATGGACTACATGAACTTGGATAATAAGTATTTCTAGGACAACAATTATAACTAAGAACAGGGTCCCCTCCCCCTTTTTTGGTAGCAAAATGTAAACCTGAAATTATTTTAAACCCATGTAAGCAGAGGGAATATGGAGATATGGTCTCCATACAGTAATCTTGAAACCCACATCACTCTCATGTGATTGTATTTACTTTCCTTTCTAGTTCGAACTCTTGAAATGTGTCCTATGTTTTTCTTCTCTATATCCTTAAATCTTATCCTCTCCAAAACCTACTGCAATTTGGCTTTTGCTTTAACTACACATTATAATTGTGCTTGCTAGGGTCACCAAAGTCATCCTAATTGCTAAATGTAATAAACAGTCTTCATTACATGCCTTGGTTGAGCCCTTTACAGATGTTGATTAAGTTAACAACAACTCTGTCTTTAAAATATTCATTTCTTGGCTTACTTGATAGGATATTCTCCTGATTCTTTCTCATTCCTCTAGTGTCTCTTTCTTTATCATTTTGCAGCCTTCAGCTCTTTCTCCATCTTTAAGTATTGATAAATTTGTCCTAAGACCTTTTCTCTTCTCTGTAAATATTCTCATATTTTCTATTAATATAAGCTGATAAATACCAACTCTCTGTGAACCCCAAATATCGGACACAAGTCTCAGTTAATTTGGGAATATTATTTTGCCAAAGTAAGGACACAGCTGTGACACAGCCTCTGGAAGTCCTGATGACATGTGCTCATGGTGGTCGGGGTACAACTTGCTTTTATACATTTTAGAGTGACATAAGACATCATTCAATATGTGTAATGTGTTCATTAGTTCAGTCCAGTAAGGTGGGACAACTGGAAGTGGGAGCTTCCAGGTTAGAAGTAGGTAAGAGACAAAAGGATGCATTCTTTTGAATCCTTGATCAGCTTTCTACTGAATATACAATTTAGTCTATCTCCATGAATCTGCATTTTTACATAAACAATATGGCAGAGGAAGCAATCAGATATATATTTGTCTCAGGTGAGCCTCAGAGGGATGACTTTGAGTTCTATCTGTCCTTTGTCCACAAGTAATTTCCTTTAGGCAAATTGTGAAGGAGGTAGGTTTGCCCTAAGCAGTTCCCAGCTTGACTTTTCCCTTTAACTTAGTGATTTCGGGGTCCAAAGATTTATTTTCCTTTCACATCTCCAACCCAGTTCTCTCTTTTATGTTTCAAATTTTGTTATCAAAATGCTACTGGAAATAGTTCATGAACAACACATTTCTTGAAGTTACTCAGACATGTCATATTTTTTCTCCAACTACTCTTTCACACGATGTCTCTTAGGACTGAGATGCACTCAGAAAACCTTCCACCTCCTTTCTTCCATAATTTGCTACCTAATTATTTGCCAGCTCTTAGATTAGACTACACTACACTGCTAAGGTTCTGAATTACTTTAAGTATATAACATATGCCATACTCTCTCTTGCTTATGGGCCTTGTAATATATATAAAGTATAATATATTTAGTATAAATTATACTAACCTTTTGGAGAAATGATAAATTACATTTTAAAATTTCTCTAAATCATATTAAAGGTGCTTCAAACACCTATCTTGGCTATCAGGAAATTTAATCTCTGCCATTATTTGAGCCACCTTTCTGTATCGTGTAAGTATATCATGTAATACAGTCTCATGTAAACCAAGAAATAAATATTTTAAAGATAGAATTATTGTTCACTTAATCAACTTGTGTAAAGTGCTCAACTAAGGCATGGAATGAAGGCTGTTTATTGGATTAAGCAATTAGGATGATTTTGGTGACCTTGGTAAGCACAATTTTAGTGTGCGGTTAAAGCAAAAGCCAAATTGCAGTAGGTTTTGCAGAGGATAGGATTTGAGGATGTAAAGAAGAAAAACATAGGCCACATTTCAAGAGTTTGAACTAGGAAGAAAAGTAGAGTAAATATAATCACATGAGAGTAATGTGGGTTTTAAAATCAGTATGAAGACTATATCTCTAGCATTTATTACACAATTACAATTTTCTGTTTTAAAATTGAAATCTCTTAACTCAAAGGCAGCTTTTTATAGATTATGGCACTATATATGTGGGTAAATTAAAGAACTGTAGTAAGACTCTATTACTCATAGAATTTACATTACAAGTCATTGGAGATAACGCATTTATTCAACCTAGATATATTGAGCACATTGTATATGCCAAGCACTGTGCTGGTTGCTGTTGGACATGCAGATGCAGAAGACAGTATCCTCAGAGTCTACAGAGTTCAAAGGCTCTTTAGGGTACAGTTGTATACCAGAGGCCGTGGCTTCCATATCAGCCACATTCACTCCCTAAATTTAGAAATGGCTGGGTTTAAATTTTGGCCTGGTTGGAGCAGAAAGGCAGAAATATATATACACAATTATGTTAAGCCTGTGAGTGCTTGAATGAACGTGGAGAACAGTAGAGTGCTTGTCTCAATTTTTATTCTCTGTCCTTTTTCAGTAAACTGATTTCTGAGCTCTAGGTTAGAGAAGGCTGCAAGAAGAAACTGAAAAAGCTATTAACACAAGAATACAAGAATATTAAGGACTCTTAGAAATCTTAGACCAACCTCTAATTTGTCAGCATCAGTGGTGATTAATGGGAGAAAATTCAGAGAATAAGAAGTCACATGGTCACTATCATATAGTAACACAGATTTCATTCATAAGCATCCATGACCTACTCCATTGGTTTTCTCAGATATAAGTGAGAATGAGATCTTTGTAGAAGTCTGGGATTTGAATTACCAGGTAGAAGAAAAGAGCAAGCAAGCAAAATATAGATTACTCTTATTATTTTAATTCTATTTAAATATAAACCCAGAAATATGTCTCACACACACAAACAAGTAACCACAACACATAGCATAATAAATATAAATTAGCAAAAGTTGCAAAGTAATTATAAAGATGAAAAAATGTGGAATGTAATTCCAAGTAGGTGAACAGAGAAAGCTCTATGGAGAATGTGGCATTTGGATATTGTGGATAAAGATGATTATTTCTTATGTTCCAGTAGGCTACTTATTTTTAAAAATTGCACATAATCAGCACCAAATAAATTGGTGTTACAGGAAGCCATTTTGGAGTGTGGGAGACCAGAATATGTCACCCCCAAATATGAAGGATTTTTGAGCTGACAGCAATTAACAAGAAGCCCATGCAGAAGAGCTTTCTACCCTCCATTTGCCTAAAAGCAAGACATAGAATTACAAAGACAAAAGGTTCACCCTCCCAACTCCACACACCCTAGAGAGAACAATGGTAAACCACTGAAGGAAACATAAGACCTTTATTTGCCTGGAGATGGTGCCAGAGGAATTTATATTAAGAAGCTTTACTGCCCAGGGCGCGGTGGCTCAAGCCTGTAATCCCAGCACTTTGGGAGGCCGAGGCGGGCGGATCACAAGGTCAGGAGATCGAGACCATCCTGGCTAACATGGTGAAACCCCATCTCTACTAAAAATACAAAAAATTAGCTGGGTGTGGTAGCGGGCACCTGTAGTCCCAGCTACCCAGGAGACTGAGGCAGGAGAATGACATGAACCCGGGAGGCGGAGCTTGCAGTGAGCCGAGATTGCGCCACTGTACTCCAGCCTGGGCGACAGAGCAAGACTCCATCTCAAAAAAAAAAAAAAAGAAGAAGCAGCTTTACTAACTAGCCTTTATCTGCCAGTTATTTGCCTTTCCACAGGTTGACACCCATGGAGAGGCAAAGTCCTTTCCCTGTGTCTTGTCACTTGTCTGAAAATTTACTGTTCTTTGTTGAAGATTCTACATAAGCTGGAACTCAAAGCCACTCTTTGAGAACTACTCATTCCTCTGATATCTCCCATGCATATATGAAATGTTCATATTAGTAAACTATTTTTTTTCTCTTGTTAATGTGTCTTTTGTTACAGGGGTTAATTCCAAATAAGAATTTATGAGGGTTGAAAAAATATTTTTCTTCCCCTATAGCAGCAAATTAAGTCAACTCACAATAAGAACATGAATGGGCAGAATGGGGTTAACTAAGAATGCTTCCTGACAAAATCTTCCTACACTGAAAGAATGTTCTGTCCTGGAAAGGTACCTGGAGGCATTGCTTCACAGGACAGAAAGCAAGGAGTTGACTGTAACTGGAATGTGAGAAACAGGAGAAAGGGATGCAACTTGATAGGGCCCCTGAATGAAATTTGAATTTAACGCAGAAAACTGCTACTTGACTTCAGCATTTTAGAATCTAAATATATACTCAGATTTTTTAACCTCATCCTGGATTTTACTCATCTTTAAACCATCTCAGAATCATAAACTCATTTCTATTTGCATTTGTGTTCCCTGGATAAAGCTTTGATTTATAGTACAGAATAAGGATTAGACCAAGAAATATTACAATTTAGGGTTTATATTTCAGAAAGACTTACAGTTTTCAATTTAGAAAATGCTCCTATTGAATATTCTGTATTTAATCCTGCTTTTTTATTTAAATTGGAGTTAAAGCTATTTTTCCCCATTCAGGTATAAACCCTTTTAGGGAATTTTTAATGCATTTGCAACATACATGGAGGGATAATACTATGAAAGGAAAATAAATCTTGGGACTCCCCAAATCAGTAAACTAAAGGGAAAAGTCAAGCTGGGAACTGCTTAGGGAAAACCTGCCTCCCATTCCATTCAAAGTCATCCCTCTGCTCACTGAGATAAACGCATATCTGATTGTTTCCTTTGGAAGGGCTAATCAGAAACTCAAAAGAATGCAACCCTTTGTCGCTTACTTGGAAGCCCCCTCCCTGCTTCGAGTTGTCCCATCTTTCCAGACCAAACCAATGTACATCTTACATATATTGATTGTTATCTAGTTGTTACAGGTAGTTAGACAGGCATGCACGGGCGGGGCAGGAGAGGTCTCTTCTCCCAGCCACTAGGAATGCCAGGTGATGGTTTGACAATGATCACACTGCCTCTCTAAAAGTGAATAATTGGCAGCCGGTGTCAGGGAGAGGTCATTTCCTGATGGTCTTGCACTAAAGAGTTAACTGAATGCAGGCACCAGCAAGACACAACTTCCCCGGCATGTGCATTAAGTGACAAAATAGCAGAGTATGACCTTCCAGGGGCACACCACTGGAGAAGGGAAGAAAGGCTCAGAAGGGCATGCATACAACTACCTAAACACATTGCACGTGCTCACCTTCCAAGGGTAAAGAGGGCACTGGGCATGAAGGGAGCCCACCCTAAGGGAACAATCATGGGAAAGGGGCCAGCCTATAAAGTCCTAGAATCAAGGTTAAACACTGCACTTGACCTCAGTGCTTACTTGGATCTCTTCCAAGCATACTTTTCTTTCTTTCTTTTCTGTTCTAAAGCCTTTTTAAAATAAACTTCCAATCTTGCTCTGAATCTCGGCTTGGTCTCTTTTTCTGCTTTATGCCCCTCAGGCAAATTCCTTCTTCTGAGGAGGCAAGAATTGAGGTTGTTGCAGACCCATATAGACTTGCTGCTGGTAACTCAGATACCTTCCACTGTTAATATCATGTCTCCCTAAAATGTATGAAACCGAGCTATGCCCTGACGACCTTGGGAACACATCATCAGGACCTCCTGAGGCTGTGCCATGGGCCTGTGTCCTTAACCTTGGCAAAATTAATTTTCTAAATTGACTGAGACCTGTCTCAGATATTTGGGGTTCACATTTGTTAACCATGGAGGGATTCTGAGTGGAGGTGCCCCTGAACTTTGACAAACCTTTTATTGGTGTTTGGTACCAGTTTTAGCTATCTTTATGGCTCAAACCAATAGGACAATTTGCTGAGGCCTGGAAGCCCCCACCTCCAGAAAATCCCTGATCTCCTCAAATTTAGTTGAGATCTAAAGTTTATTTTACTATACAACACCTTTTTTTTTTTGGAGTTTTACTTGCCTCCAACAGAAAGGCAAGTTTTCCTGCTTTCATGATAATGGAAGGCAGGTAACTCCTTTCTGGAGTTTGAGCTCACTTCCAATGGGGAAGGCAGGTTTAAGTTTTCTCCCGCTTCTAGTGTGGTAGAGAGCAGTCTTCAGCCTGAGACCCATCCCTAGGTAAGTAACTGAATTGGGGTTTATTTATGTCTTGGCTAAAGTTAAGATTAACAACCAGCTGATTTTAATTTCTCCTAACCATTAAAGTGCTCAGTGATCATATTGTAGGGGATTTTTTGTTGTTTCTTCTGGTCTTTCTGCAGTCAGATTTGACTAACTCTACCTGACTTGACAAAATCCAAATGAGAATTCCAAATTATGGGTAACAAGGCCTCTCTGAATTAGCTAAAATTCCTCTCAGCTGCAAAAAGAGGGAGATAAAACCATGTGCTTGGTTTCTGTGTTTCCTTCTTGTCTTAAAAAAATTGTTACTTTGTTTACTTTTCTTCCACCCTATATCTCCTTTGCTGTCTTCAGTACCAAGAAAAATATAGAGAAGGCTTCTAGTGACTCAAATCCCTTAAAGAACTCAGAACAAAGTACCACTCACCCCTTTTGGGGTGTTCTGTTTTCTTTGTGGAGTTTCAAGAGTCATGAGCAGATTCTTCTTAGGTCTAAAGCTCTGCTTTCCTGTATTGCATTACCTGACCTATTTGGCTTTGGGGGTACTAGAGATTACCTTGTACTGTGAGAGGATTTGACCTTGGTGTATGTAATGGCAGACAAGGGCTACAAAATACAGGAAGTGGTCTTGGCTGTTTTTTTTTTTTTCTTTTTTTTCTTAGGAAGTTGTTGTTTAAGAATCCTCCTTCTGGTTCAGAGATGCTTTCCAAAGGGACTTCTCCATTGCTTTTTCTCCCCAAATTAATCTCGATTTGGCTTGTCTGTGAACATTTGTGTGAAGAATTGAACTGTTGTTTTCACACGTAAATAAGAGACTGAGTTTCCTCAGCTCCAAAGAGAAAGGGCATTTTGCTCCTCCCAGCCGAAAGGTGCTTCTTGGTGAACAGGGGCCTCATGAGAGTGTCAGGGGTTTGACCTTCCCACTGAGAGGTGACAGCATGCTGGCAGTCCTCACAGCCCTGGCTCGCTCTCAGCGCCTCCTCTGTCTGGGCTCCCACTTTGGCGGCACTTGAGGAGCCCTTAAGCCCACTGCTGCACTGTGGGAGCACCTTTCTGGGCTGGCCAAGGCCAGAGCCGGCTCCCTCAGCTTGCAGGGAGGTGTGGAGGGAGAGGCGTGAGTGGTAACCAGGGCTGCGCGCGCTTGCGGGCCAGCTGGAGTTCCAGGTGGGCGTGGGCTTGGCAGGCCCACACTCGGAGCAGCCGGCTGGCCCTGCCGGCCCCGGGCAGTGAGGGGCTTAGCACCCGGGCCAGCGGCTGCAGAGGGTGTACTGGGTCCCCCAGCAGTGCCAGCCCACCGGGGCTGCGCTCGATTTGTCACTGGGCCTTAGCTGCCTTCCCGCGGGGCAGGGCTCGGGACCTGCAGCCTGCCATGCCTGAGCCTCCCACCCGCTCTGTGGGTTCCTGTGCGGCCCCAGCCTCCCCGATGAGCGCCGCCCCCTGCTCCACAGCGCCCAGTCCCATCGACCACCCAAGGGCTGAGGAGTGTGGGTGCACGGCGCGGGACTGGCAGGCAGCTCCACCTGCAGCCCCTGTGCGGGATCCACTGGGTGAAGCCAGCTGGGCTCCTGAGTCTGGTGGGGATGTGGAGAACCTTTATGACTAGCTCAGGGATTGTAATTATACCAATGGGCACTCTGTATCTAGCTCAAGATTTGTAACCACACCAATCAGCACCCTGTGTCTAGCTCAGGGTTTGTGAATGCACCAATGGACACTCTGTATCTAGCTACTCTGGTGGGGCCTTGGAGAACCTTTATGTCTAGCTCAGGGATTGTAAACACAACAATCGGCACTCTGTATCTAGCTCAAGGTTTGTAAACACACCAATCAGCACCCTGTGTCTAGCTCTGCGTTTGTGAATGCACCAATCGACACTCTGTATCTAGCTACTCTGGTGGGGCCTTGGAGAACCTGTGTGTTGAAACTCTGTATCTAGCTAATCTGGTGGGGAGGTGGAGAACCTTTGTGTCTAGCTCAGGGATTGTAAAGGCACCAATCAGCCCCTGTCAAAACAGACCACTGGGCTCTACCAATCAGCAGGATGTGGGTGGGGCCAGATAAGAGAATAAAAGCAGGCTGCGGGAGCCAGCAGTGGCAACCCGCTCCGGTCCCCTTCCACACTGTGGAAGCTTTGTTTTTTAGCTCTTTGCAATAAATCTTGCTACTGCTCACTCTTTGGGTCCGCACTGCTTTTATGAGCTGTAACACTCACTGCAAAAGTCTGCAGCTTCATTCCTGAAGCCAGCGAGCCCACGAGCCCACTGGGAGGAACGAACAACTCCAGATGCTCCGCCTTAAGAGCTGTAACACTCACCACGAAGGTCTGCAGCTTCACTCCTGAGCCAGCGAGACCACGAACTAACCAGAAGGAAGAAACTCCAAACACATCCGAACATCAGAAGGAACAAACTCCAGATGTGCCATCTTAAGAGCTGTAACAGTCACTGCCAGGGTCCGCGGCTTCATTCGTGAAGTCAGTGAGACCAAGAACCCACCAATTCCGGACACACCATGACACGCAGTGGCCCTACAGGAAATTCCCAATACATTTAGTTTAAAAAAGGCTTGTCCAGGAAGCACATATAGGAGCTGTTCACTCAGCGCTTTGAGCCCTCCTGGAGGTGCTTAGACCTCTGGAGAGAGAAACTGGGACATGCAAGAGGGTGGTAATAACTCACTGGTGACACTGTGAAGTCCTGCTTGCAACCAGCACACACTTGGACCCACTCCACGAAAACCCTAGACCACAGTTCAGTTTATTCTTTTAAGAAAGAAACAAAAGTGGGAAACAATCTAAGAATGAGGAGAAAACAAGGAGAATGTCCCCCTTTGGGGCACTCTGCTAGTTTTATGGTGCCTCTACTTCCTAGAGTTTGTGTAAAATGGAAATATTATGGTCTTTGTGTACATTTACATCAAGCAAAAAGAGCCCTAAGGTCAACCTGCAAACTATAGAGTTCCTAAGTTACCTTTTTCCTTTATTTTATTTTCTGCCTGCTTTAAAGCTAATGTTACTTTTCCACTGAGATAAAAACACTGTTTGGATCCAAATGTTTTTTGTTTTTGTTTTTGTTTTGTTTTCCAAATTTGTATTATCTTATGGCTAGGGTTCTGAAGCATAAGTTATGGGACCTTTGTGTGTGAGGGTGTGTACGTGTGGGTATATATATATTTAAAAGGCCTTTATGATAGATTTCTATACTTTTATGTTTAAATTTCAATTAAATCAGTTTTAATTACCCTCTAGTACACTAGACTTTTTCTCTCTCTACTTTGTGATGTAAATTTTACTATCTGATTTTTCACCTACGAGTTATTTCCTTCAATATGCAAATTTAAAGTGATGTAGGGTAACAATTGCCAAGGGTAATGAAACAGGTTATCAAGAATTTAAAATTTGAAAATAAAAAAAGAGGTCTTATAAATCTATAAGATGTACTTCTATAGGCATGTCTAATACATCTATGTATCTATGTGTTCTGTACACAATGTTTCACTGCTAAATATATACAAAAGAGCTCTAATTAATTGGCTTAAGAAAAATACAAGAGCTTAAATCAAAGAAAGACCAGTCATATGCTTTTTCAAGTTTATGTGACTTAAGTAAAATCTTTAATAAATAAGCTAGCTTTAAAATTATTGGTAAAGTAGTATTAGAAATGTCTTAAGAATTGCCAGCATACATTTTTGTTTGAATTTATTGATCAAGTGATTTCACACTTATCCCTGCCAAATACTATTAGGTGTCAAAATTTTGCGTAAGTGTTACAAAACTATAAACCCAGCCCAAAACAGAATGATCTTTGCTTGTGTAATTTTTGACAAATAAGACATGAATAAAGGTTTAATGAAAATAGCTAAACCTTAAACTATTTAGTAAAATAACCATAACTTCTAATTTTGTGGCTTTAAAATGTCTAGTCTCCCAGCCAAAATGGGATTTGTTTCAGGGAAAGACTGTTGTCATCTTAGTTTCAAAGCTAAACTTTAAACTAACTTCCTCACAAAGTTAGTTAGACCTATGCCCAGGAATGAACAAGGTCAGCTTGGAGGTTAGAAGCAAGATGGCGTCAATTGGTCATATCTTTTTCACTTTCTCAGTTACAATTTTGCAATGGTGGTTTCATAACTTTAAATGATAACTATCACAGTTTTCATAAAGAATATAGATAAACTATAAAATAAAATAATTAGGTAAATGTGATGGGATAAATACTTGTAGACAAACTTGTCATAATTTAGAATCTAAAGTTATAGTAAATTAAATAACATATATTTCATTATTTGGGTATTTCCAAATAATAAATATCACAGGAAAACATTATTTCTAAAAAATGTGTGTCCTTTTAAAACAGGTGAATTTTTTTGTCTAATTCACAGCTTATTTAAAGATTATGTAAAAAACAAGGTAAGAGGAAACAGAAAATAAGAGAGATGTAAAGAAAGTTATAGAAATAAAGAGTTATTGTTTGGTAAGAAAGCTTAAAGAGAAATAATTTTATATGAGAAAGAATCTTGTTTGGTAAATTTTTTCCTAGAATACAATGACTGGTTGTTTAAGAAAGCAATGTTTAGGACAAACCAGGAAGTCCAAGCATGTCATGAACGGTCTGTGTAAGTCATAATAAGAGAATTTATTTTGAAAATCCAAAACTTTTATATTGTCAAGTAGTCTACAATTAAAGGGATGTTATAATGGTCTTTCTAGAGATTGGGTTTTAATTTAAAAAACACTTATACACTAAAAAATTGGTTTGAACTATAAAATTTTCTTAAGGCATTGCTTTACTCTTAATAAATTACAAGACATTATAATTTTTTTAATCAAAGTTTAACTTTTATCGCATCTTGCTGTTTTCAGCTTTCTCTCCCTTTTTCAAAGGCCTGAAAAAATAACTGTATCCTTCAGATCATTTTCAGCTCCTGTAAAAATTTTTTTCTTTTCTTTTTTTTCTTCCTTTGGGTTCTAACTGATTAAAAAACAAAAAGAAAAACATTTATCTTAGAGGTCCAAAGGACATATTTCTTTCCAACATAATATTCCCCATAGGGAAGAGCGGTTGCACTGCAGTAGGTCTTTTGTTTTCCTTTGAGTAATTGACCTAATAAACAAATCTTATTATTTATTGAAAAAATTCCTGTGTTATTATTAGTAAGTTTGGTTTGCTTAAAAAAACTGTAGATTAAAAAAATAATAAATTAAGGTTATTATCTCTGGATAACTTCCTATATGTGCTTTTAAAGTTTTTGTGTCATTAAGTTACAGGGCTTTGACCCCTGGGTCTCAAAAGGACACTAAATCCTGCTAAATCTTAAACACTGACCACAGTTACAGCCTCATTTTCAGACCTGGTAGAAGATACCAATCACAATAAACTGTGTTTATGAGACACAGGGCCAGAAATTAAAACTCCTCAAGACCTAGGACTATCATGGAAGAAGTGGGCATGTGAGAGTGTGAGAGCCAATTTTGAGAGATAAAATAAGCTCTGTTTCTCTATAAATTAACCATTAATGTCAAAGGCACACTGATGAAAGTCCAGTATATAGGCCCCTGTGTCAGATTAACAAGGTTTTCTTGGAGCATTAACCCATTCCTTAATAAAGGTTATAAAGGTTATAAAAAGGCTTATGAAAAGTATATCTTAGGTCAAAATGACTAAAATTGTATAGATTGCTTATAAAATTTTGAAAACAAATTTAATTGGTCTCATGCTGTTTTTATTAAGGCTTATTGTTTTGGAAATTAAGTCTCCTCTCTCAAAGAATAAAGGTTTTTTTATTTAAAAAAAAATTTGAATGATCATTTTGGTTAAATGAATACTTTATTTCACAATGATCTGTGATCCTATTTTATGATATCAAGCCTTTTAAACTTTTCATATTTGACAAACTTTCCAAAGTCAAATTCTAAATTGGGTTCTCATTAATTTTTTTTTTTTAATTTTTTTTTTTTTTTATTATACTTTAAGTTTTAGGGTACATGTGCACATTGTGCAGGTTAGTTACATATGTATACATGTGCCATGCTGGTGCGCTGCACCCACTAACGTGTCATCTAGCATTAGGTATATCTCCCAGCGCTATCCCTCCCCCCTCCCCCGACCCCACCACAGTCCCCAGAGTGTGATATTCCCCTTCCTGTGTCCATGTGATCTCATTGTTCAATTCCCACCTATGCGTGAGAATATGCGGTGTTTGGTTTTTTGTTCTTGCGATAGTTTACTGAGAATGATGGTTTCCAATTTCATCCATGTCCCTACAAAGGACATGAACTCATCATTTTTTATGGCTGCATAGTATTCCATGGTGTCTATGTGCCACATTTTCTTAATCCAGTCTATCATTGTTGGACATTTGGGTTGGTTCCAAGTCTTTGCTATTGTGAATAATGCCGCAATAAACATACGTGTGCATGTGTCTTTATAGCAGCATGATTTATAGTCCTTTGGGTATATACCCAGTAATGGGATGGCTGGGTCAAATGGTATTTCTAGTTCTAGATCCCTGAGGAATCGCCACACTGACTTCCACAATGGTTGAACTAGTTGACAGTCCCACCAACAGTGTAAAAGTGTTCCTATTTCTCCACATCCTCTCCAGCACCTGTTGTTTCCTGACTTTTTAATGATTGCCATTCTAACTGGTGTGAGATGATATCTCATAGTGGTTTTGATTTGCATTTCTCTGATGGCCAGTGATGATGAGCATTTTTTCATGTGTTTTGATATTAGTCCCCTGAAGTCCAAAAGAGACATATTCAGCTTATTTTGTGTAAAAATCATACTGGAAGTATTGTCAAATATGAAATGGTGTTTGGCTTTCTTTAGGCTGTATTTACATAAATGTTATTGGTATGTGTTCCAAAATTATGGGAAACTCCTATAATTCTGATATGAGTTAGTATATGTTATTAATAATTATAATTGTTATGTTAAATTATTGTGTGCAACAGAAGTAACAAATTTCCTTGTCAATTGTATCTTTGACTATGGCTGCCCTAAAACTTTTTGCCATCCATGGACAATTGTCTTAATTTGGTCCTCTTTACAAGGTGGTTTTATAATCAGCTATGAAACTCTAGGAGGTGTTCTTGAATGTAGGGTTGTGATAACTTTGGAGATTGTGATATTAGAATAGAGGAAAAGCTTTCAGTACTCATGGAGAGCCGGAATGTTTATGAATATCAAACAGAACAGGAGTTAACTGCATGGACTGAACTAATAAAGGACTGAAGTAATCTTTTTGACTTTTTTGCTTAAAACATTGCTGATCCTTTGTTTAGTTTTTCAGAGTCAAGGACACTTTTTTTTGAGCTATTGGCAGCTTTTAACAATTGAGTAAAGTGTACTTTTGTGAACAAAATTTGGAGCATATTTGTTTCTCTCTACATGATTTCTCCAGAATTTGGAAACTGTTTGTGAGTATTCTTAACTTATGGCAATATAGTTATTTGCATAAGTTCAATAAGAATGATTTCTTTTTGCAACAGGACAGCATTGGAGAAACTGGTTATTTTACCAAGGCTTTGACTGGAATGGTGTGCTTTCCTTTAAGGAATCAAAATTGACTTACAGAGCCAATAAAAGCCCCTTGGGAAAACTGGCCTTCTGTGTTGTCTACACAGTCCCTGTCCAGGATTACTGGCCTCTGGTAAGTAAAGAATGTCATTTTCTGACAAGCCCAAGAACCCCAAGTTATCTTGAGACCTCAAGAGAAGAGGAATTTGCCTAACTCATAGGTATGCGGTGGTACAAAGCCATGGCTGTGCTCAGCTTTACAAAAGTCTTATCTGAGAGTCCTTCTGTGGAACAAAGTTCCATCAAAGCCATCTTAAAAAATAATTATTCTTGCTGCACTTTAGACAAATAATCAGGGCAAGTATAATAAAGGAAATTGGTCTTACCCAGGTTTGTCTTTAGTAAAAACAGGAAACTGGAGAGAGAAAAATTATGTTTCAAAAACTATAGTACAACTGTTGTCAGAGTCTAGTCTTGTCTAATGTATTCAATTTGTATTATTTTCTACAGTTGGAATGAATTCTAAAATTTTTCCTGGCTACAAGTCTCCAAAATAACGTTCTTATTTTTTTTCCTTCTTTCTTTTCCTTTTCCGCACCCCTCATTTTTCCTAATTTGAAATCACTGAAAATTAAGCTGTGCTTTCTTAAAGCTCTATGAACTGAAGCTAGACAACTTAAACCATAGAAGAAAATAACAGCAACCTATTTACATACATAAGACACTTTCATCTCTGTCTACTGATGTATGGACTTCAGGGTAACATGGCCTATAATGATTTTCCAGGATTGTTCTTTTTTTGTTTGTTGTTGTTTTTCTTTCTTCCTCCCCCTATTTTATCTTTGTAGGATGTGAGACTTCACAACCTGCTAAAAATGAGCTTTTCTAAATATGTGGGACCTACCTGTCTAGGAATAAACTATCCTAGCCATGAGAGATCAGATGAAGCCTGAGAACAGAGACTTATTTTCTTCTAAAATGCTTTCTTTGAATGATTTTAAAAGGAAAAACAGGGAAATACGAAAGGAAAATAAATTTTGGGACCCCCAAATCATTAAGCTAAAGGGAAATGTCCAGCTGGGAACTGCTTAGGGCAAACCTGCCTCCCATTCTATTCAAAGGCATCCTTCTGCTCACTGAGATAAATGCATATCTGATTGTTTCCTTTGGAAAGAAAATCAAAAGAATGCAACTCTTTGTCTTACTAGGAAGCCCCCTCCCTGTTTCGCATTGTCTCACTTTTCTGGAGTGAACCAATGTACATCTTACATGTATTGATTGACGTTTCATGTCTCCCTAAATGTATAAAACCAAGGTGTGCCCGACCACCTTGGGCACATGTTGTCAGGACCTCCTGAGGCTGTATCATGGGTGTGCAACTTTAACCTCAGCAAAATAAACTTTCTAAATTGACTGGGACCTGTCTCAGGTATTTGAGGTTCATAATACAGATCAGAATTTTTAAACTTTTAAAATAACCTTACTAAATATTGATTTACAAATTTCTACTTTGAAGGAGACTTAAAAATGTTCAATTCTCTCTTTATAGCAATGAATCATATTTAATTAAGATAAAGGTCAGCTAAAAGTACCTTTATCTTTTTCTGAAATATTTTTCCAGCTTTTGCTGTCCGTTTTCTATATACTTGAAATTCTAAACTCAAAAGAATTTCCCAAAATTATTTTATCTTCGTTTTATTTACTTTTGTTTTAGTAATAATTTCCCATTTATATAGGTTTATAAAACCAGCTTCTATAATATACATAGAAGGCAGGATTATAATATTTTAATGTTAACTCTAATTGGAAGGACTATAATTGCATATCTAAGCAAAAATTAATTGATAATCACCAGCACCTGGACAATTTTAAATTTACACATGTACAGTACACTTTTCCATTTCTGCTGTTTTTACCAAAAATCTAGTTTCAAGCCATTTTTTTCAATGGGAAGTGTGTACTACTGACACTTTGTCACTAGAGTATTTTGAATTGAGATGATGAAATGTACAAGTGGTGTTACATCTTTTAGAATGCTGCAACTGAACATAAAACCATTCTCATCTCTGTAATAGGTTTCTGATAGTACTCTGTTAGCAGTCAGTGATATAAAGGCTGCAAACGTTGATGAAAACTGCAGGTACCTTAAGTCACATGTATCTCAAATAAGAGTGACAAGAATCAAAATATCTTGACTATTTACTGCCTTGTTGCTGTTCATTGGAATGCACACTGAAGTTTATGGCAGCAAATGATACTGTTGCCGGTCCTTCAGAGCTTTTTTGTTTTGTTTTGTTTTGTTTTCAGAGCTATATGAGAACACCATTTAACAGCCTCTACTAGCTCCGCAACAAAGGAAGATCAGAAAGTTATCACTCAATCTCAAGTTCTACTTACATGAAAACTCTCATAGAAAGACAACGCTTTTAAGCATGTACTAAAAGCCTGATCCTGTTGCCTTCCTGTATACTTGAAACTGGACGTACTTCTCCTGCTCTTAATTTCAGTCATGCCTACATTAAGTACAAAAAAGCATCTTGTCTTATCACAGATTTAAAGAAGACCCATTTGAAGACAATCTCCAAGAGGGATGATGAAAAGATTTCTCATAAACTCTTTTTAAATGTCTTGGTTTCTTTCTTTCCCAGGCTGAACCATAGGTAGGGGATGGCTGCTGACATATTTAAAATGTGCTAAGGACCCTAATTCTTGTCTACTTCCTCCTAAATCTCCTAGGAGGACACAGAGAAATAAAAACATCTAGCCAAGTGCAGAAAGTTACTTTTTTTTTTCAAAAAACTTGTCAATTAAGGTAGCCTTTAGGTGGTATTAACCACGTCATATTTCTCCCTTTGGCCAAGTTTTGAGCTTTGCAATTGGCACTGTGAGCTTTATTCAGTTTATTATTGTCACTTCCATTTAATCCCTTCACGAATCTTTCACCAAAAATGAACTCATTTTAAGATGAAGTGGCGAATTAATGCAGTTACATAATCCAGCAAAGACATCTAATTTGAGAATAGGTCCATTAGAATTTGGTAAGCCCTCTGGCCCTGGGAATCAAGATATTAATCTGCTCTTGTATATTTTTTATTCCTAGTTATTAGGGAGTTATTTTTTGTCCTCAGATGCCTTTCACTGAGAAAATTCTATTTTTAACTTGCTTTTTATCAGAGGTCAACATGTGGTACTCTGCAACTTTCACAAAGGAAGATGAAAAGCAAAACAAAAGTTTAGTTCTGAAATTTCAATCATGGGTCTCTACATACCCTGGAGTGGGTGCTCCCCCTGAGACCAACCGGAAGGTGGTTGAAACAGTGTTGAAAAGTAGCCATGAGCTTGATGTTAATTGGAGCTGTTCCAGAGGGGTACCAGGTCATGGACTTAGTGCTAAGATAAGCATGAGTTTACTGTAGGAGTGAAGTTATTGTCTACGCTGTTTCAAAATAAATGTTAAGTTGGAAAGAGTGCAATACCAATACATCAAGTTGGTATTTGCAAAAATCATTTAAAAATTTTACTGCATCAACTTTTCCTGTAGTGGTTTCTGAGTGTGATCTCTACTTGGTGTTCTAATAGGAATAATCCTATGATGGCATATGCTACAGATTGGTGCTTAAACATTTGCCTTCTTAATGCAGGACTCTGATTAAAGAAGGCAAAAAGGAACCTCTTCTGTAGCCAGAATGAAAACAGGCATGTGTATAAGGGTTAGGGGGAGCAAAATCTACCAGGTAGGGTGGGGACAAAACAATTACTCTCAGTTACTGCATCTTAGTGTCATAAAGAAGGGACCTTGTATAAGGGGAAAGAATAATCACTCCCAAAAGACCCTGTCATTACATAGGTGCAAAGTCCCCACTATAATTGGGAGAGTTTAGAGTATGATCGTTTACTGCTGTGGTAGTTAATTATCACTTAGAGAATGATAGTTAATTCAATCTTATCTTTCCTTTCTTATCCTTATTGATATGGGCAAAACTTTCTTCAAAGGAGAGAGGACTGAAAATGAGCAGCAAACAGCAACTGTTAAAAACAGCAAGAGAATACAGGTACAATATAAACATGGAAGCAGGGCTACAAATAACAGTTGCCTTTTCAATGTAAATAATGGAGGGCAGAGGCCTCCAATACGGGAAGCTATATTTGAAGTATGGGGGGAAATGAACCTAGAATCTATCTCCAGTAAAAACATGCTTAATAACTGAAGGTAAAGGGAAGATATTTTCAGAATTTCAAATTCTCAGATAATTTGTCTTCAGCAGACCAGCACCTTAATAAATGCTAAATTATAATTCCCAAGTTAAAGAAAATAATTTTACATGGAATTCTAGTTCTGGGATAAGAAGCAGCAGCAATATAAACCGTATATATGTCAGTAAATATAAAATACCTTTTAAAAATATGACATATATTTTAATTGTTAATTATTTAAACAAGAACAAAAACAATGTCCTGTGAATTTCATAGCACTGTAGAAAAATATAAAGCAGCAAAATCACAAAGGAGAGGAGGAGAGATAAATGGAATTGTACTATTTTAAGTTTGCTGTATTGTTCTTAAAGTAATTTTTAAAAATAAATTATCATAATATTAAAATATGCATTGAAACTTATGGAATGACCAATAAAAGAACACAAAGAGCGACACCTAAAACATTCTCAGAGCAACTAAAATGAAATACTAAAAAATTATTGATTTGTCCAAAAGTAGATAGGAAAAAAGGAACAGAAAAATCAAAAGAAATTATATAAATAAAAAACAAATAGCAATAAATGACATAATTTAAATTAAGGGACTTTAATAATGTGATTAAATATAAATTGGCTGAGCAAGCTAATAAAAATGCACAGATTATCAGACTTGATAGAAAAGAAACAGATCACTGTATTACAAAAATGCTCTTTAAATATAAATATACTATAAGTTGCAAGTAAGTGGGTGTAAAGATTATGCTATGAAATCCTAAGCATAATAAAGATTCTATGGCTATATTAATTAAAAAGTAAAATTAAAGATAAAAATTGTTACTAAATATAGAGAAGAACAAGTAGAAGTGATATAAAAAGGATCAATTCATCAAGAACATATAACAATATTAAATCATTATTAAACTAAAAACAGAGTTTCAAAATACATGAAACAAAAAAAAAATGAGGAACAAAGAAAGACATAGACAAGTTTACAATCATGGTTGGAAATTTAACCACCTACCTCTCAGTAATTTATTACAAATAGAGAACAAAATCATCAAGTATAAGAGCCATGAAATCATATAAGACTATAACAACATTATCAACAGTATCAGTCCATTTTTACACTGCTGATAAAGACATACCCAAGACTGGGTAATTTATAAAGGAAAAGAGGTTTAATGGACTCACAGTTCCACATGGCTGGGGAGGGCTCATAATCATGGTGGAAGGTGAAAGGCACATCTTACGTGGTGGCAGGCAAAGAGATAATGAGAGCTAAGTGAAAGGGGAAACCCCTTATAAGAACATCCTATCTCGTGAGACTTATTCACTACCATGAGAACATTATGAGGGAAACGACCCCCATGATTCACAACACATGGGATTTATGGGAACTATAAATCAAGATGAGATTGGGGTGGGGATAGAGTGAAACCATAAATTTACCTACTTTACATTATAGGACAGTATACCACAGAAAAGCAGAATACATATTCTTCTTGTGGAGACATGCAACATTCGTCAAGATGGAGCATATTCTGAGACCCAAAACAAATTTTAATAAATTTCAAAGCATCAACATTATGTAGAATATAATCTATGACCAACATGATATTGAATTAATAAGTTAGAAGGTTTGATATCATATACAGTGTACTGTATGACAACAACAGAGTTAAAGTAAAAATTATAATAAGATATCTAGAAAATCCAGCATATTTGGAAATTACAAGTATACTTCTAAACAAACCTGGGTCAAAAAAAATATACAAAAGAAATTAGTCTGAAGTGAATGGAAATAAAGTATATCAAATTTTGGGATACAGCTAAAGCTGGGTTTAGAGAGAAATTTAAATCACTTTAAATGAGTATATTTGAAAAAAATATAATATTTATGACTTGTAATTCTACCGTAGGAGACCTAGCATGAGAGTATAGAAACCTCTGGAGCCTTACAAACAAGGGAAGTTCACATCTACTTACAGGTTTTCCTCTCACATTCCTCGTGAGAAAAATTGGAGGCAGTAGAGAGGATGAAAAGGCCTCCTTTGCAGTGCAGGACAGGGAGCAGGAGATAGCTGGTGTGATGCTCCATATGAATTATCTTCCCCTCTTCCCCCTAGGGAACAAAAGCCTTAATTCACTAGAGGAATGACAACAAGCACTGTCACCCTCAGGCACAGATGAAGACAAATTGCAGCTGGGTAAAGGGAACAGAGAAATCCCTCTATACCTAGGGAAAGGGCAGAAACACATTCATGGCCAAGAAAAATAGAGTCTACTGCTGTGGAAGGAACAGGATCAATAATGCCCTACTGTAAGATCAAGGGAGACACCGAGCCTGCCTAAAACTCAGACTGAACCAGAACACCAGAGAATACTCTCCACCCTCTATCACCAGCCTAGCCAGCTTCATGTAACAAGTAACAGCAACCTCCCGCTGGGAGAGGGTCAAAAGAGAAGGCTGCAGCCTACTTTGAGACACGGGCAAAAGAGAAGACCTCCAGCTGAAGGTGGACCAGACATTAAGAAAATAATCTTCTGGAAAATGAGTTTTCAGCCTAAATACACAGTAACACTAGAGGAATTTAAAGACCATAGTACACTGAAGGTAATAATTTCAACAATAAAACCCTACTCAGCCCAACGTCTCAGGCACCCACATTGAAGACCAGGCCAACTAAAAGCATGCCTTAGTTACCACTGTCCTAAAAAAATGTACAGCATTAAGCCAAAATTATGAGACATATAAAGAAGCATCCACCCCCATCTCCCATTTTCTTTCTCTCTGCTTTTTCATTCTCCCTTTAAAATGCCCAGTCACCCTTGTACGAATCACAGTGGAGCTCTGCTTTTTTCCCGACTGTCATAGTTACTGACCACTCTAATGCCATGCTTTGTTTATCTTTGACACAAGTCATAGACTGGGATGAAATATTTTTAGTACATATATCTGAAAAAATGTTTGATATCCTGGTACATGAAACATTTGCAAACAATAATATATATATATGTATTTCATGTCTGTATATGTATACGTCTATGTATATATAAATATATGGCTAAAAAGCACTTGACAAGGTGCTCAATATCACTAGTCATCAGAGAAATGCAAAACAAAACCCTAATGTGATAAAATTTCACATTCAATATGTTGGCTATAATAAAAACCATTTGACTGTACCAAATTTTGAAAAGGATATGCATTGCCAGTAGGAGTGTAAAAATGATACACCTGCTTTGGAAAACAATTTGGCAGTTGCTTATGAAGTTAACCATAATTTATCTATAACCAACTGTCTTAGTCCATTTTGTATTGCTATAAAGAAATAGCTGAGGCTGGGTAATTGACAAAGACAAAATGTTTATTTGTCTCAGAATTCTGATGGCTGAAAAGTTCAAGATTGGGCATCTGCATCTGGTGAGCACATCAGGTTGCTTCCACTCGTGGGGGAAGGGGAAGAGGAGCTGGTGTGTGCAGAGATCACATAGCAAAAGAGGAAGCAAGAGAGAGAGAGAAGAGGTGCCAGGCTCTTTTTTACGACCATCTCTCATAGGACCTAATGAAGCAAGAACTCACTCACTACCATGAGAATGGCACCAAGCCATTCATGAGGGATCTGTCCTCATGACCCAGAGACCTCCCACTAGGCACCTTCTCCAACATTAGGGATCAAATTTCAACATGAGGTTTAGAGGGGTCATACATCCAAACCATGTTATCTTCCAATTGCATTTCTAGGTATTTATTTGAAAATACATAAAAACTAATGTCTACAAATGACAACTAAAAGACTATTTATTCGTAACAGTCCTGTCTATGATAGCCCCAGACTGAAAGCCACCTACAGGCTCATCAACAGAAGCATGAGTAATAATATTGAGTATTCCAATGAAATACTCCTCAGCCATCAAAAGAAATGAAAGAGAGATGAATGCAACAATATAGATGCATCTCAAAAGCCCAATCTTGTATGGAAGAAGCTAGAAACAATTGTGACTGCATGATTCAATTTATATCAAATGCAAAACAGTCAAAAGTAATCTTTGTTGAAATAAGCCAGTCAATGATTAGCTCTAAAAAGTGGCTGTTAAGATCAGCTTGGTGGAGGCAGGAGGAAACTTCTTGCGGTAATGGAAATGCTCTATATCTTCCTTTTGATGGTAGTTACAGGGGATCAAAAAATTATCAAAAGTCATTGTACTGAACACTTAAGATTTATGCATTGTATTAGTTGAGGCTATTCAAAAAATAAAATTAATAATTAGGTATAATGCCTTTTTGTTCATACTAGATTTTTTAAAATTGTCCTACGAGTTGAAGTATAGAATATACTACGAAAGAAGCCTTAAAAACTTGGTTTATTTTGGCAAATATCTTCATTGCTTAAAAAGTTCTACATATTGCCTACACATTAATTAATTTCATTGTCTATTTTCTTGATCAACATAGAATTATGTAACTTTAAAGCTGAGAATGTTGGATAAATCCTGAAGATTCTCAGTTATTGAAATGTGGACTAAAATACACTTAATGAGTAGTAAGTCAATGTATGAAACAACAGAATAGTAGTTGTTAACATACACTGAGTGCTTATGATGAGAAAATAGGTATTTTTCTTTAAGAAAATAGGTTTTCTTAAAAACCTATTTTCTAAGGGAAAACTTAAACAGGGCTAAATATACAAAAGATATCAAAGAAGCAAGTCTGGTTGAAGTGAAAACATGGGCACCTGTAGCACCACTTCATTAAAAGTTTGAATATATCCCTCACCCAACCCTATCGATTTTGCTTGCCTTGGAATAAAATATTTTATCTTCCATGCCTTAAGGAACTCACGCATTATGAGCCAGAATAAATGTAATGATGAGCTGAGTGCTATGCTAAGTGATTTACATATGTCAACTAATTCAGTCCTTTGATGTAGTTACATCTATCTGCTACTCATGAAGAAACTGCAACGTAAATAGGTTAGGTAATATGCCTAAAGCCACAAAGCCAGTAAAGTGTACAACCAGGATTTAAATTCAGTTAGTATGGTACTATCTCTGTAGTGTACCACTGCATGGCACAGAAATTTAATGCATCAAACATCAAATTATATAAATGTAAATTACTGTTATTTATTACATGTTTGGGAAAATTTTACCTTTATGTCGTTCATTTTAACACAAGTACTTAGCGATAGCTACTTTGGGTCTGGCAAGGCAGTGGGACTTGGGACAATCAAAGATGATACCTCACCCAGGAAATTAAAGTGACTGAATTAAGGAGGTGTTTGCAAAGTACTTTCAGAGTACTGTGGGAGCACAGATAATTGTGGTAGTAATTGTGACTCTGGAAAGAAACTGAGATTTGCTTTGAGTCATAGTGGGCCATAATGAGTGAGTTCACTGGTACAGAGAGATGAAAAATGGTTTCCCAAGTACAGAGGAAACCATGTGCAGAGGCAAAGACACGGGAAAGAGTGTTTGGGGGAGAATCTGTATTTATTTTCAAGGGGACATGAGATAATGTAGTAAGATAAGAGGCTGGAAAGATAGGTGCAGACTAGATCATTGAGAGCTTTGACTATCCAACATATTTAGAGATTTTATCCTACATCCCAAAGGTGTTCAGATTTTTTCTTAAAAACCTATTTTCCAAGGGAAAACTTATACAGGGCTGAATATATAAAATATATCAAAGAAGCAAGTCTGGCTGAAGTGAAGACATGGGCACCGTAGCAGCACTTTATTAGAAGTTTGACTATTTTCCCCCACCCAACCCCATCAATTTTGCTTGCCTTGGAATAAAATGTTTTATCTTCCATGCCTTAAGGAACTCACGCATTATGAACCAGAATAAATGTCATCTCCTCCGTGTAACTATAGGCCCTTCAAAAAGAGAATTTGAAGAACAGTGCTGTGGGTAATGAAGAGTTACTGAAGAGTTTTAAACAAGCTGGAGGGTTTGATCAGCACAATTTTTGATTTGGAGAAAGAGACTGCAGCCAAGAAAGACTAAGAAAGTCAGAGTTACAATAATTATAGTAGAACTAGAGGAAAGAAGAGGGGTCATAAATATTACTCAATCTTGTGATCTGATTAGATGAAAGGGCTAAAGAGAAGGAGGAGTAAAGTTTCCTGGTTAGGTGACTGGTACCATTACCAGAGAAGACTATACTCAGTACAATTCAGGGCTTAATAGAAAAGAAAATCATGGGTTTGCAGAAATAACTCAAACAGGTAGATGTCAATTAGAAGGCACAACTGTGAAGAGGTATCCAAAGCTGATACTCAGAATTTACCACAAAAGGCTCATCAATATCCTATTGACATAATCCAGAGAAAGAGAGGCAGAGAGAGAGAGCAGATACTTTGCACAAAAAAGAAGCAGTACTGGGAGAGTGGAGCAAGAAATTCTAAAGCAAGGTGGTTCACATTAAGTAATTATATTTAAGAGTGAATTCATTTGTCCAGGGGCATACTTGCTGTGGTTCTAGCTCTAAAGGAAACAAAACATACCTTACCCTACCTTGACAGAATTTTCAGGAATGGCAGCTAAAGAGGAGGAGGAGATGGTTTGGTCTAGAAGTTTACAGTTTCCTATCCAGATGGCAATACCAGTTGCTCCTATGCTCCTGACAAGCAAATTAATTAGTGTTTTTGTCTTTTTTCTTTCTTTTCTACTTTTAGTCCTAGCTTCAGAATTCCAGTCTCTTAGATGACCAAGGACACTCTTCATCCTTTGAGGGAAAAGGGAATGCCTTTTATTTTTTATATTTTTCTAATTATGGAATGTAATCACCTTGACTAACTATGGTAGTAATTGTAAAAGCCTGTTGTTTGTAGGAGCAGAATCAACATCTCCTGGGAACTTATCAGAAATGCTAATTTTTGGCTCCACCCCAGACCTGCAAAGTTAAAAACTCTGGGAATTTAACAGCAATCTGTGGTTTAACAAGCTCTCCCAGTGATTCTGATACACATTCAACTCTGAAAATAGATGTCTTCAGCTGACATAGATAAGCCTGTCTACCATATATCTAGCCTCTGGTTAATTGTTAATGCCTGGTTGGAGACGGATGTGAGAAAAGATTCTGGAGAAACATTGAGGGGTTGTGTGAAATGATACTGTGATTCATCAGGTCCACCATGTCGGACACTCCTTCCTCATCCCTCCAGGGTGTTACACCAGATTGGCCAATTTCCTGCAGGGAGACAAGCCCAGCCTTCTCAATGTACTTCACATAGATAAAAATATGTATGATCACCCCTTCACGTTAACTTTGGCGTCTTCCTCGAACCCCAGTCACAAATTCCTTCATGCATAGTGCCCACTTGGCCTGTAATATTTACAGCCAAAACACATGAAAAATAAACAGGAAGATTTGATAAACCACTAGACTAATTTGCCATGGATATTAAAATGTAGAAGAAAGTTCTATATTAAGTTATTTTTCTCTGTGTGTTCTACCTAAAATCATCTTAGAGTTTATTCAGCATTATAGTGAAGCTTGGTTCGTTTTGGGTTTTATGTCAGCAAATCGGTCTAAGGACATATTTTACTTAACATCAATTTTACAGAGGCATTGCAAATGTGGAAAAATACCAAAAGCATTTTTAAATAATTTATGACATCCATTCATTCAACAAATATTTAATGAATACTAAGTACTAGGTATTGTGCTAGGGCTTGGAAATCAGAAATGGGTCATACGTAGTTCCTGCTCCCAACCCAGAACTCTAGAAGAAATAAAAAATCAGTGTGGTGACAGCATACTCTGCATAAGCTCTGGGTGGTAAGCCCAGGTAGCAAATGTTGGGAGGTACTTAGTCCACATTATATGTGACGGTAAGATGGAAAGAATAGGAACAGAAGCCTTTCCGGAAGGGCAGAATTAAAAGCTGAGTTCTGCAGAACAAATATCAGTTATTTAGAAGAAGGGGCAAGGACAAAAAGGGCATGCAAGCAGAGAAACTAGCATGAGTCAAAAGCTAGAGGTGAGAAATAGCATGATGTGTTTATCAATTACATGGAGTTACATGTGGCTAGAGACAAATGTGTGGTGTTAGGGGAGGAGAAGGAGGGTAAGATGAAATTTATGCTGCAGAGATGTGCAGGACCAAGAACCAACTGAGGCTGGGGGGAAAGTTCATTTGAGGACTAAACAACTCTGAGTTAATTTTGTTTTTTGCTTTGCCATCATTTTCTTTGTGCTACTGTTCAGAGCAATCCTGGAACACTTCACTCCACATCACTTCATTTGGAAACTAGTCTTGTAAATATAGATGGAAATAAATGATGTTGTCCTGGGCAATTTTGAGAGATGACGGCTGCTGGCATGTCCACATCGCCATTTCTTTCTGGGAAGTTTTGCTGTTAGATATGGCTGCTGTTGACTCTCTCCTGGTACATGTAGAAAACTTGCCTGCCTCCCTCAATTCTGATAGGTATCACTTAACAGTTTTTGTAAAAGTAGAAGGATCATTTCAGAGCCCTTCATTATCTGGTTTAGAAGAGCCTTCAATGTACAAAGTTTATTTGGTTAAAATATTCCCTCTTATAGTCAGTTGCTACTAATAGAAAACTGGAAAACAATGGATTAAACCAGTGTGATGTTATATTTCTTTTACCACAACCTGCAAAGTAGGAAGTCTGAAGCATGTACAGAAGCTTTGTGAAGCCATCAGTTCTCCAAGCTTCTTTCTCTCTGTTCTGCTTCCCGTAGTCTGTGCCTTCTATCCTCAAGGTCATCATCAGTTATCTCAGGATGGTTACTATGGTGCTGACCATCTTGTTTTTTTCCCACTAAAAAGAAGAAGGAACGACAACAGGGAAGGGCCAAAACCCGTGTATCAGTAGACTCAGACCCCTCTGAAAATTTTGTTCAGAAATCTCACCAGGTGACTTTTGCTTACAACTCATTGGCCAGAACTGCCTGCCACATGACAGCCTACTTGCAAAAGAGAATGGGAAATAGATATTTTCATTTGGGCATGTTGCTATCTGAAATAAAATATTGCTATAGTAAGGAAAAGGAAAGAATATATAATGTGGAATAGTTAGGAGAAATATAAGGAGAGAATGTATATTGTAAATACTATTAAGAATCACTTCTGTATCTGAGATCTGTCCTCAAGCAGGTACCCAGATCTCTAGAGTCTTTCTCTTTCTGCCTCTAAAAATGCAAGTGCTGTATCATAATCCAATTCTACAGTTCATCCCATGTGTTTGATATAACAGCATTATATTAATGAGCTATTTTACTCTCTTTATCACGGTTGGTTTTCATTAATCCTCTCTTCTATTTACCACTAATGTTAATGTGTGCTCATGTGTCCACACACACATGTACACGCATGCATATGTTTCTGACTGCTCTGAGCACATGCATAATTTGAGGTATAAGTATGGAATTATTTCCTGAGGCAAGACTAAATGCTCTGTATTTGCGTTTTTTACAATCTCCATTCATGAAAGAGCTCAATTGCTTTCCAACCCCTCCTTTGCCTTTGGAAAATTATCCTTGAAGAAAACACAGTGGGTTGTCTCACTTGTCAGCAAATGAAATAAAAAGAAAAAAAAATGGAAAAAGAAGCCTATGTCTTTCATAATTAGAAGTTAGGTTTACATCTGTTTCCTGAAAATTAAGACTTTAAAAACAATTCCTTAAGGGCTAATTAGAGGAAAGTTGGTGGTTGTGTGTTTTGGCAAGAGTTCCTTTGCAATAAGATATTTAGAAAAGATGGAAGGATGAGTTCACAGCATTGTTTCAAGCTCAGGCAAGAAAACTCACCTACTGACATATTGAATATTTTTTCAAGCATAAACTTCTAAATTTAACCCATTGCCTGGATATTGATTTATTTTGATCAGGTAGAGACAGATTAAAAAACGAAATAAAAAGAAGTGAATTGAAATGAAACAAAATGACACAATTCCACATTTAATGTGCAGAATTATTCAGAATATATACAGGTCATCCTGTCTTTGGAATGGGTACTGATTCTAAGGTTCACTGTAGATATTTAGCTCCTTGGGTTTTAGGAGGGGTACAAGGGAGGCAATAATTTTTAAACACTAATTAGTCAGATGAAAGATTTCTTTTGGAATAAAAGAAAATGCCTGGCAAAGAAGGTGGTGATTCCAAGGTGCTTACTATTTTTGGCCATTTTCTGTCTTGTTTATTCATAGCTTTTTTCTCCAGCCCATCTCTGTCTTGCATCCTCCACCATCCTCCCTCACCCCACTTGTGTGAAGAGTTACAAACAGGGTAGTAAATGTAAAATTTCTTTGAGTTCTCCTAACCAGTTCTATTTCCTTAAACAAATAACTTCATATGAATGTTGTGGAATATAAACTTACTTTGTTTAAAAAATTCTTAGTACCAATTCCTAAGTTTCCAATGAAAAAACAAATATAAATGTGTTTGGGATACTATAAAGCGCCACATAAATGTAAGTAATTGTTATTGCCATACAGAAGTTGAACTTGTCCAGTGTGTAGTTAACACATACAGACCTAAGCCACATCCATATACATATATACATATTTGCATAAATGTATATATGTATAATATACAGGTTCTTGCCCAGCCTTTTAATGTACACATGAATATATAGTTACACATACTTAGCAAAGGTTTATGAGATTTCTTTTGTTTATTCCAACTTCTATTTTAGGTTCAAGAAGTACACATTCAGATTTGTTACCTGGGCATGCTTTCCGCAGTGGCTGAACAAATTTACATTCCAACCAGCAGTAGATAAGTAATTCCCTTTCTCCACAACCTCATCAGTATATATTATTTATTGGATTTTTAATAATAGCCATTCTGACTGGTGTGAGATGGTATCTCATTTTAGTCTTGATTTGGATTTCCCTAATGATTAGTAACATTGAACATTTTTTCATATGCTTGTTGACTGAGTGAATGTCTTCTTTTGAAAAGTGTCTGTTTATGTCCTTTGCCAATTTTTAAATTGCATTTTTTTATTATTTGTTTGAGTTCCTTATAGATTCTGGATATTAGGCCTTTGTCAGACGCATAATTTGCAAACATTTTCTCCCATACTCTAGGTTGTCTGTTTACTCTGTTGATAATTTCTTATACTGTATGGAAGTTCTTTAGTTTAATTAGGTCTCACTTGTCAGTGTTTTGGTTTTGTTGCAAATGCTTCTGGAGTCTTCATCATGAAGTCTTTACCTGGGATGATGTTCAGAATGATATTTTCTGGATTTTCTTCTAGAATTTTTATAGTTTTAGGTTTTACATTAAAATCTTTATTCCATCTTGAGTTGATTTTTGTATATGGTGAAAGGTAGGGGTCCAGTTTTAATATTTGGCATATGGATAGTCAGTTAGCCCAGCAGCATTTACTGAGTGGTGAGTATTTTCCCCATTGCTTGCTTTTATGAGCTTTGTCAAATATCAGATGGTTATAGGTATATGGCTTTATTCCTGAGTTCTCTGATCATTCCCATGGATCTATGTGTCTGTTTTTGTGCCATTGCCATGCTGTTTTAGATACTGTTGCCTTGTACTATAGTTTGAAGTCAGGTGGTGAGATGACTCCAGCTTTGTTTTTTTTGTTTAGAATTGCTTTGGCTGTATGGGTTTTTTGGAGGGGTTCCAAATAAATTTTAGATTTTTTTTTCTAATTCTGTGAAAAATGTCATTGGTATTTTGATAGGAATAAAATTTAATTTGTAAACAGCTTTGGACATTATGGCCATATTAACAATATTGATTCTTCCTATCCACACACTACGCCATAAAGGAATTCTCAGCAAATGTTTTTGAAAAACTGAATTACCAACCACACTCTTGGATCACAGTGCAATAAAAATAAAAATCAGTACCAAGAATATCTCTCAAAACATAGAATTACATGGAAATTAAAATGCTCCTAAATGATTTGGAGTAAACAATAAAATAATACTGAAATCATACCAACCACGCTCTTGGACCACAGCAAAATAAAAGTGGAAATCAATACCAAGAACATCTCTCAAAACCATACAATTATATGGAAATCAAACAACATGCTCCTGAATGACTTTTTGGTAAACAATGAAATTAAGACAGAAATCAAGAAATTCTGTGAAACTAATAAAAACAAAGATACTATGTACTAGATCTCTGGGACACAACTAACACAGTGTTAAGAGAGGTGTTTATAGTACTAAACATCCACATCAAAAAGTTAAAAAGACCTCACATTAACAATCAAACCTAGAAAAACTTGAAAAGCAAAAGTAAACCAACCCCAAATGTAGCAGAAGACAAGAAATAATCAAAATCAGAGCTGAACTGAACAAAATGGAGATGAGAAAAATCACACAAAAAATCAATGAAACCAAAAGTTGGTTCTTTGACAGAAGACATAAGATAGACCACTAGCTAGACTAATAAAGAAAAAAAGGAAGAGGATCCAAATAAACCCAATCAGGAATGATAACATAGACCTTACCACCGACCCCACAGAAATATAAAAACTCTCAGAGACTATTATGAACCCCTCTATGCACACAAGATAGACAACCTAGAATAAATGGATAAATTCCTGGAAACATACAACTTCCTAAGATTGAACCAAGAAGAAATAGAAAGCCTGAACATATCAATAATGAGTTCTGAAATTGAATCAGAAATAAAAATCTTACCACTCAGAAAATGCCCTGCATCAGATGGAGTCACAGCCAAATTCTATGAGATGTATAAAGAAGAGCTGGTACCAATCCTACTGATACTGTTTCAAAACATAACAGAGGAGGGACTTCACCCTAATTCATTCTATGAGTTCAGCATCATTCTGATACCAAATCTTGGCAGAGACACAATGAAAGAAGAAAACTTCAGACCAATTTTCTGATTAACATAGATGCAAAAATCCTCAACAAAATACAGCAAATTGAATCCATTAGTACATAAAAAACATAATCCATCATGAGCAAGTATGCTTTATTCCTGGGCTATAAAGTTGGCTCAACATACACAAAATAATATATGTGATTCATCACATAAACAGGACTAAAGCCAAAAACCAAATAGTCATCTCAATAGACGCAGAAAATGTTTTTGATAAAATTCAATATCCCTTTATGTTAAAAACCCTCAACAAACCAAGAATCAAAGGTACATACCTCAAAATAATACCAACCATCTATGACAGACCCACACCCAAAATTATACTGAATGGGCAAAAGCTGGAAGCATTCCCTTTGAGAACCAGAACAAGACAAGAATGCCCACTCTCATTACTCCTATTCAAAATTGTACTGGAACTCTTAGCCAGAGCAATCAGGCAAGAAAAAGAAATAAAAGGCACCCCAATAGAAAGAGAGAAAGTCAAACTTTGTCTCTTCACAGTGAATATGATTCAATACCTTGAAAAAAAAACCCCTTAGTCTCTGTCCAAAGGCTCCTAGGTCTGATAAACAACTTCAGCAAAGTTTCAGGATACAAAATCAATATTCAAAACTCAGTAACATTTCTGTACACAAATAACGTTCGAGGTGAGAGTGGAATAACAAAGGCAATCCCATTCACAATAGCCACAAAAATAATCAAATGCCTAAGAACCAAGCTAACCATGGAGATGAAAGAGCTCTACAATGAGAATTACAAAGCACTGCTAAAGAAATCAGAGACGACACAAACAAATGGAAAAACCTACCACACATTTAGCCATAAAGCTTATGAGGTTTTCTTATTTCCATATATTTCCACTAATAGTGCTTATTAGCAAACTTTTTTGGTAACCTCCAAGATAAAAAACGTCACTTCATTTGAATTTCCACTTTTGTATTAGTGAGGCTGAGCACTTTTTATATAATTATTGACTACATGTATCTCTATTTCTATATGTCGACTGCCTATATTCTCTGTGCATTTTGTTGCTGGTTCATTTGTATTGTTTTTATTTTCAGTGAGAAGGACTTTAGAAGACAGAAAAATAATCAAGTAGAAGGAATTCCAGGCTAAGAACTGCTGAAACACAGCCAAAGTGGTATGAAAGTGCATGGCAAACCCAAGAACTGTCAAGTTTGACTGGTATCTCTGGAGTGTGGATAAGTGAAGGCCGTGGGAAATAGGACTAGGAAAAGAGCTGTATGCATGATTATAGAAATATTGTATCTTGATGTCAATATTTAAAGCCTCTCTGGACCACTGTTTGCTAATTGCATGGTGAAAAATGTTAGGCACCTTATCGAGATGAATGACTAAAAGCTGAATAGAAAAGAGACAGCATCGCTGCAAACGGATGGGGAATACTGACTATAAAAAGTCACCTGAAGAAGCACAAATGCTCTTTGAAAGACCTCACTATTGGGAGCCACTAAGTTTAAATGAGCCCCCGATTTGACACTAACTTACTGGGTAACCATGGGCAAATCATCTTCGATTCCTTGAGCAGTTTCCTCATGTTCAAAGTGAGGTAGACCAGATGACTTTCACATTATTTAGACATTTCTAAATTCTGTCACATGTATGTACACATCATTAGTTGGTTCCTCTGTGTGATAAGGCTTGGCATTTGCTCATTCTAGAATGTGAAAGAATCTTCAGGATGTCATGACTGTGGTCTGAGTGCTCCTTGTAACCCTATTCCATGTCTGCTAATTAACTGTGGGAATACACTCGTCATTTCTCAAGTACAATTCCAGGAATAAAAATAAAGTGGCAAAATATGACATTTTCAGGGTTATTCAGCTTTCTGTTTTGAAAGATATATGCTGCATTTTTAACTTTTTAGAAAACTCTCTAGTTCTTAGTCTCTTTGCTTTTTCTTGGTCATATTTGAAACCAAATTGCTCATTTTTTTTACCTTTCAAGTTGCATGCAATCTTTGTACAAGTATAATATTAGTGATGATATTAGCATGCCTCAGTTCATTCCTGTTCACCTTACAGGATCTAGACATGATTTCATTTATCTCTAATATAAGAAGTGTTTCTTATATTACTAAATGTTATAAGATGAGAAACAGTTTGTGTTGCTCTTTTACACATAATTGGTAATAATTATTTTTGGATAGCTATATATTTATGAATAAATTCATTGTTTAATTAATAAAACAAACTAAGTAAAAAGAAACAACTGGTGCAATGAGGGACTCAATATTTGCAGAATTGTACTTATGGTCATTTATTGGAGAAATTTCATAGTCTCCAGTATGGTTATAACTGTGTATTATTTAACTTAACCTTTTAAAGACTTTCTTTGTTGCCTTCAGCCTTAATTGCCAGATGAAAATGTTTTGCAACAAAGCTGAAGATAAAAATGTGCTAATATTTTCAATTGAACATCAGTATTTTTCTGTTATCAAAATCAATGTATATCCCTCAAAATTTGAGTGCTCTATTTTACTTAAGAAAATCTTTCTTTTCTTTGCAAACGTTTCATAGGCTATGTATCTATGAATTTTGACTAATACCATTTTTGATGTGTGCTCAGGAAGTTAACAAAATCTGTGACAAAATCTTGTTTTCCAATCTCTAACCCCAAATTAATTATTAAAATAGAAGTGAACATACATATAAAACCTTTTTGATAAATGAATTAACGAAAAGACGTTCATTAAGCACTTCAATTTAATAATGTCGTATTTACACACTAAAGGAGGCATTGCCATTCTACTTAGGCTCTAAATGTTACAAAAACAAATTGCTTTTTCTCTTTGTATAAGACAGTTGAAAGGCAAAAGAAAGAAATTTGTTATTCACCGACATTATCCAGACTGAAGCAAAATTTAGTTTTCTTTGTCAGACTGACAACATCACAATTTTCCATTTAGTGGAAACTGATATATCATAAAGTCAACCACAAAATGATTTGGAAGCTATCAAGATCCTCTTTTTTTATTCCAATGAATCTGTCATGTTCAAGGTTACATAGACAAATAGTTAAGGGCCAGAGGACTGTAAGAGAGACAGGCACATAGTAGGGCCCAGGCCACCACAGACCAAAAAGAGAAACCTGGCTTTCTAGAACATCTCTGGGTCAAAAGCTAATTAGAACCAAAGGCTTTGGAGAGCAGAAAGAGGTAAATGTTGTTTCCTAGCATAGGAGAACTGCAGCAAATAGATAAACACAGCAGTTCTAGTTAAACACATAGACCCCAGTGATTTCCCTTTGTAGATTCTTGGCACTATCACCTGGACAAATTTATTGACAGAGGTGAACTCTTCACATAAAGAGGATCTAGCTATTGTCTCTAGAGTGACAATATGGTACAAGCTATGCAAATGGGCCTGTGCTATAAATCAGAACTGCTGCAAATTTCGAATACACCATTCTCATTAATACCTTTCAAAAGAAAACTGAGTAAGTTGACAGATGTGTACCCTAATTGGATTGCTTATTGTCAGAACCTCACTAATTTACAGGTGATTTATTTCAACTTTTTCAAGTCCATTTACAGTTCAACTTTAAGTACTTTTTAACCTTAATATCTCTTAATGGTCCTGGGATTAAAAGACTGAAATATGAAGGCTCAAATGGGTCCAGAAGAAATTCCTGAACTCTTTGTTATTTCTTACATTGCTCAAAGGTGAAGTTTGGAATAATGTAGTTAGCTATTTGTGTGCTTTCCACACCAAAACTCATCTTAATAGAGAAACATTTGTTCCATTACTCCGTTGGCAAATGTCAATTGGCAACTCTCTATGAAAAACAGTGTCGAATGTAGGGATGCCCTCCAAAGCTATAACCTAAATACCAACTCCCATCCTACTAGTCCCAGTTAATTCATTTGTGTTATACCCTACAATACCAAGGGGAATGAGAACAGAGAGCCATCTCTCTGTGGAAGTACTTACCATTTATTAATATATCCATGTACGTCGACCTTTAAAACCAGACTCTGATGGCAACTAATGCATTAAACAACTTATTTTGCAAACATAAAACCTTCTATTATGTTCCAGCCATGGTAGTAAATATGAGAAACGCACAACGTTGAATAACACTTGTCCCCTGACTTCAAGGATATTGCAACAAAAGAAAAAGTTTGTGGCACAACTTTGCGCATAATGCTGTGAGAGCACAGAGTAGTCAGGGCTTCATTGTCCTGGAGGGTAGAGAAGATTTTACACAAGAAATGACATTTGGGCCGGACGCAGTGGCTCACGCCTGTAATCCCAGCACTCTGGGAGGCTGAGGCCGCAGATCACGAGGTCAGGAGATCGAGACCATCTTGGCTAACAAGGTGAAACCCCATCTCTACTAAAAATACAAAAATTAGCCGGGTATGGTGGTGGGCGCCTGTAGTCCCAGCTACTCGGGAGGCTGAGGCAGGAGAATGGCGTGAACCCGGGAGGTGGAGCTTGCCGTGAGCCAAGATTACGCCACTGCACTCCAGCCTGGGCAACAGAGCAAGACTCTGTCTCAAAAAAAAAAAAAAAAAAGAACTGACATTTGACTAGGATCTCAAAAGATGGAAAAGATATTCAGTAGGCAAACAAGATTTGCTCTGTCATAAGATATGCTAATCAGTTTGCCAAAGTCTCTGAAATGTGTCAAAAATAGAATTCTGTTTCCACTTGATTCATAAGTAGTGATTCTACTAATATCTGTATTAAAGCCTTCCTTTCTGGAGAAATTCCAATAATGTATTAAGGAACATTTAATGTGAGGTTTTGTTTGAATAATGAAATGTAATACAGAATATACTCTTTCTTGAATGAGGATTACATTTCCTTCTAGGCAGGAAGAATGCTATGTCCTGAAAGTGTGTAAGACTAACACTTTTGGGGAAAAGAAAGGATCCCATGTTGCTAAAAAGTTGGACATTTACTTGGAATGGGTGGTTGGTAAGTGAATGGCTAAAAAGAAGCTTGGATAGTTCAAGCTGGGTTAAGAAGGTTTTGTATGTTCTTTTTAAAATTTTGACTCTTCCTTGTGGCTGAAAGGGATCCATCAAAACTGTTTAATACATGATAGCAGCTTGAACTATAGTAGGAACAGAGGGAAAGGCAATAAGGTGCCAAATTTAAAGTGTATTTCTGATGTGGAGTCAACATATTTTGATATGGAGGTGACAGAGTAGATATTATAGAGAAGGAGAACTAGAAGCTGGCTGCATAATTATAAACAGGGATGGCCAGATAGAACTCTATATTAAAGTTAGGAAGTAAAAGCAACAAACTAAGAAAGATGATCTTATTAAAGTCATTTCCCTTCATAGGAATTCAATTTACTCAGCAATAACTGGTTAAGTATTGAACCAGTCATACGAAAGAACCTGCTCAACTCTAAAGGTATATGGAAAATAATTTGACTTTATTTAAAAAATATTTTCATTAAACAGGAATTTTCATATTTCTTTAAATGCTTTTACCAAAACTGTGGATTGGTTTCCGCTAATGTAAACTATAGTAGTCATTGGAAAGGAATGAGAGAAAAATGTTCTCATTGTTGAAAAACCTATTCTCAAAGAACAATTTAATGAAATATTCACTAAGTGATAGATCTTCCAGGTTTTAGCATGAGTGATGCTTATATGCTTTTAGACTTACTCTGCCATAATTAAGATATGCTAACTAGTATGCCAAAGTCTTAGAAGGGAGTCAAAAATAGAATTCCTGGCCGGACGTGGTGACTCACTCCTGTAATCCCAGCACTTTGGGAGGCTGAGGCGGGGGGATCACCTGAGGTCAGGAGTTTGAGACCAGATTGGCCAACATGGTGAAACCCCGTCTCTACTAAACATAGAAAAATTAGCCTGGCACAGTGGTGTGCACCTGTAATCCCAGCTACTCGGGAGGCTGAGGCAGGAGAATCACTTGAACCTGGGGGTGGAGGTTGCAGTGAGCCGAGATCAAGCCATTGCACTCCAGCCTGGGCAACAAGAGCAAGACTCCATCTCAAAAAAAAAAAAAGAATTCCTTTTCCACTTGTTTCATAAGTAGGGTTTCTGCTAATATCTGTATTAAAGTCTTGCTTTTTGGACAAATTCCAAGAACTTATTGAGGAACAATTAATGTGTGGTTCCATGTAAATAATGAAATTTGATGATACAGATTGTACTCTTTCTTGAATGAGGATTACATTTCCACTCCTGCTTTCATTTTAGTTCCACAAAGTTCCAAAACACTAAAATGCGTTTTGTGAAACAAAAATTTTATCTTGGTGACACGTGGTCTTTGTCAGGAGAAAAACATATTAATGTTTTTAATAAAAGATGAAAATGTGTTGCCAAAAGCAATAAAAGCTGCTACTATAATTTCGTTTTAATTTAGATGAAGCCGAATGCACTGGAAATTCTCAGAATTCTTTCATCTATGTCCCCCATAGACCAGCTGCTTGGAGATCAGATTTTAGCCTGAGATTTGAAATGTACAAGGTAGATTTGATTGGTATTAGGAATGAACTGAGAGTTGACATCTTCCTAACAAAGTTTCTAGAATTTCAGGTCCATTAAGCCTTGAGCACTTGTTGATTAGCCTAGGCTTATTTTAATGTCACTTCTATGAAACCTTTCCTTATTCCACCAACCTTCAGTCACTTGAATTGTTTGCTCTTCTATGATATCACAAGGCACTTGTATTGTAGTTAGTTGTTTTCATCTATACCTCTCACACTCAGTTGTGAGCTCCTTGAGTTGTTTGATTCATCTTTGGGCCATTGTGACATAGAAGCTTCAGACTAAAGGGGACTCCAGGATCCTGGTAAGATGTAAAGCCACAGCAAGAACGAAAACTGGAAGTTTATAAGCTATCGATAGGCAGGTCGCAAAATTATCAATTAATTTTCTTAATCTTGCTCATTTTGTGTAATATTGTAGTTGTTAAAACTGTTGTCTATCCCACCAAATTATCAAGGAAGAAATGTATAAGATTGAAATGCTCAATGAAAAACACATAAGCATTGGAACCATTTATATCTGCACTGAAGTTCTCTTCTGCCCCTTACTGCATAACCTCGTGTGCTGGATATCTTTCGTAGGTCTCTCAATCTCTATTCTACACCTCTCCCCATCACTCTCTCTGTTCAGATTGACTGACTGGTATGAATTACATCAACAGGCACATCTGGTTTTTGGTTGAGGTCGGTTAATGCCAAATCCCAAGCATGAGATTTGGAGGAGGGAGGAAAGTGAGATCAAAATATGTATTCCCTTGGCTATCTTTCTGTAAGGTAGGAAACACCAGGCTTGCTGTGTCACTCAACAGTCTAATAGTGCTCCTTTCAATGAGTTTAACTTTATACAATTCCTCTCCAAGGTCTTCATATACTTGAGATGGTGACAGTTTTGCCACTAATAACACCAGTATTCCTGCAGTGTTCCGTGTGGCTTCTTTTATAATTTAGAATTAGTTATATAATTAATTATATAATTTTATAAATGGTTCCATTTTAAACACTCACTCTCCTCCATGAATTATCCTAATTGTAATGGGTTCTGTTTTTTTATGGGGACTCCAGCTGATCAACATTGGAGAAGTCATTGGGGATAATAAGGACTCCCACTCAAAAGTTCTTATGAGGAATAAATGAGAAGGGGCACATTAATAACATGTCTACCACAACTCCTATTACATAAGATACATTCAGTAGAAAATAGTACTGATTATTTTCACCTCTGAATGCCAGACACCAAGCACAGAGTGTAGCATGAACAAGCACTCTCTAAATATTGATTAAATAAATGAGTGAAACTGCAGAAAATAAGGTCAATTTTGACCTCAGTCATTCTTAAATTGACCCACTATCATTCTAGTTACTTTAATTTTCCTATACTCTTCCTCAGAACCTCCTCTTATATTCAAGATATATACATATATATACACATATATATACACACACAAACACACATATATATATACATATACATATACATATATATATATATATATATATATATATATATATATATCTCCTCTGGCTATGCCCCCAGACCTAACCTATATTTTAAGCTTTTCCAGATCTGAAATTGTAATTTTAGCTCCCATTTTTATCTCTATTTATTCTAAAGGACTTGTTTACACAATGTGCACAAAACATATTTTCTGGACTTTAGAAATGAGCTATCCAATTAGCTGGGTGTGGTGGTGGGCACCTGTAGTCCCAGCTACTCAGGAGGCTGAGGCAGGAGAATGGCGTGAACCTGGGAGGCAGAAGTTGCAGTGAGCCGAGATCACGCCACTGCACTCCAGCCTGAGCAACAGAGCAAGACTTCATCTCAAAAAAAAAAAAAAAAAAAAAAAAGGAAAGAAGTGAGCTATCCATGCTGGCAAGTACTTTTACTTATGTTTAATGTTGTGTTAAGTGTAATTCATTTAGAGCATATAAGGTTGAAACACTATTTTCATACCCTACATACTAGCAACATTCAAAAAGCAATAGGGTACTAGAGAAAACAAGCACATGGGTGGCAAAAACTTTCTCATTACTCTTTTAGAATTCATAATGTACTTCTATCTTACTTCATTCCTTTGGATACCATACTTTGGGCTTCTTGGCCTGTTCAGTCACACTTGAGAGTCAGGCTCCTTTAGCTCTGTTCTCTTGGTTTCAAATAAAGCCAATAATCTCAATTTATGCCACAATTTATGCCAAAATGTGCCATTGATACCTAGCAATCTTCAAAGCTGCCTTACTTGGAATTATTTGGAGTGACAAGCCTATTGCCAGAAGGGGGACTGTATTAGTCAGGGTTCTCTAGGGGGACAGAACTAATAGGATATACATATAGAAAAGGGAGTTTATTAAGTAGTAGCATCTCACATGATAACAAGGTCCCACAATAGGCCATCTGCAAGCTGAGGAGCAAGGAAGCCAGTCCTATTCCCAACGCTGAAGAACTTGGAGTCCTATGTTCAATGGCAGGAAGCATCCAGCACTGAAGAAAGATGTAGGATGGGAGGCTAAGTCAGTCTAGCCTTTTCACGTTTTTCTGCCTGCTTTATGTTCGCTGGCAGTTGATTAGATGGTGCCCACCCAGGTTAAGGGTGGGTTTGCCTTTCCCAGCCCACAGACTCAAATGTTTATCTCCTTTGGCAACACCCTCGCAGACACGCCAAGGATGAATACTTTGCATCCTTCAATCCAATCAAGTTGACACTCAGTATTAACCATAACAGGAACTAAAGGTTTTTTAGTTATTTTTTGAACATCAGAAGTATAGACTATATAGAAAATAAAAGTTTCAGGCCTTCACAATTTTTATTAAAGAATAAATGAGAAACTGAGAGAAATAAAAAATGATTTATTTTCTTTCATTGTGTCTATATTTTGATTCAATTTTGATTCAGTTTGAAGAATGCAGATGTATATCATTTCCAAATTAACTGTGGTCTATGTATTTTGAATTTGTGCCATGAAGACAACTACTCCAGGTTCCCTAAATCTATAAATTCCTAGTACTTTACTCCAGAGGCAGAAAATAATAAGATAGTAGATTGAATATACACATCTAACTTCACTTCATCTGAAAACTCCACTAGGATCCACAAGGACAGAGAGAACAGGAGAGAATAAAACAGCAACAACATTTCAGAAGCTGGAAAGCAAATGAACCAGTGATAATTAACTTAGCAGGACTAAAAACTGACTCTCAGGCAGGCCTTGGGAAAAGCTGAGAAACAACCAGATTTATATTACAGAATCCCCAAGGAGTGAGGAAATGTTAGCCCCAGGTACCTGTAGAATCAGGTATAAAAGAAAGAGGCTGAAATAAGGAGTAGGGAAAAGAAAAAAAACTGTTGAAAAACCTTCAGACCTCCAGATCCCCTTATCCAGTATATATCCCTAGGAGTCCGTCTCCCCCAACCAGAGAAGATAACCTAGAGGTTTTTTTCTTTGGGTAAAGTAAATTAGAAAGTCTCGGAAGTGGGAACTGCCAGGCATAGTTGAGAGAATGTTAAATGACTATGGGCCATGTGCACACTGAATGCTGAATGCTAAGAATCTCTGGCTCTCTTATTTTTCAGTCCTCACCCAGTCCTGCTTCCATATCTCTAGCAGCCAGCTAGATCTTTATCATTCAAACAGAAGATTAGAAAACTCTTCTTAGTGCAATGCGCTCAGATGGAAAATAATGATGTGAAGATATTAAAATATAGCATTTTTCAATAAAAAAAATCCCGATAATTTTACAGTAAAATTAAAGTTTGACCAATCAGGCTGCAAACTCAGAACTTTCAAACATTATTTTATTCCCCAATCCTTAAATTTTAATCATGAGCAGACAATCAAGGATCACTAGACATCTGGGAAGAACTTCCACCAAGGAAAATGGAGACCAGAGGACACAAGAAATAATATATATACATGATAATATATTTATATACATATGAGTGTGTATATATATACGTATATATACTTACATATATACATGTATATTTATATACATATATACATGTATATTTATATACATATATACATATATACATATGGAATACATTATATATTTATAATACTCATATACATGTATATATTCACTTACATATATACATGTATAATATTTATATGCATATATACATTTATACATATAGAATACATTATATATTTATACATATATATACACACTGTATGATCTCACATATATGTTGACTCTAAAAAGTCCACCTCATAGAAACAGCGAGTAGAAATTGCTTGTCAAAGGAGAAATGGAGGAAGGAAAACGTTGGTCAAAGGGTACAAAATTTCAGTTAGACTAGAGGAATAAGTTCTAGTAATCTATTGCACAGCATGGTGATCACAGTTAGTAATAATGTATTGACTTGCCAAAAGAATAGATTTTTAATGTTCTCATCACAAAGAAATGATAACTTGGTGAAGTGATGGATATGTTAATTAGCTTGATTGTATTTTTCTACAATGTATACAGTACATAGATCAAAACATCACATTGTGCTCCCTATAAATATACAAAGCTATTATCTGTCAATTTAAAATGGAATAATTTTATTTTACTTATTGACTTCTTTATTTTTACAATTTCAAGCATCTGATCTTCAACAATTGAACAAAAATAAGCAGTGGGGAAAGGTCTCCCTATCCAATAATTGGTGCTGGGATAACTGGCTAGCCATATGCACAAGAATGAACCTGGACCCCTATCTCTTATCATATATAAAAATTAATTCAAGATGAATTAAAGAATTAAATGTAAGACCTCAAACCATATAAATCCCAGAAGAAAACCTAGGAATTACCCTTCTTGACTTCAGCTTTGGCAAAGAATTTATGACTAAGTCCTCAAAAGCAATCACAAGAACAAAAATTGACAAATGGGGCCTAATTAAACTAAGTTAAATTTTTGAAAATTATTAGAAGAAACAGAGACTAAAGAAGGGAAAGAACATTTTGAAATATGCTAATGATGCCGGATTTTTCTTCAGTGCCACTTTGCCAGCCAGAGATGTTCGTGGCTGGCAACACCCCTGCCTGGGCCACTGTCAGGCATGGTCTCAGCACAGGAGGCACCCTGCCCACCTGACCCACTGGGCCGCACCTGGCTTGCACTTCTGTGTGGATTCCATGGTCACCACAACTGTGCGCTCAGCCTGCAGCAGGAGGGGGTATGTAAGTGAGTGAGTGCAGGGTCCAGATGGCTGCTCCAAGAGTGGCACAGGAGTGGGCTCTGTGTGGGGCTTGTGGCTGAACCAGGCATGTTGCAAGTGATTCTCATGGTGGACTCCAGTGTCTCAACAAAGGGAACATGGTGGCACCCAAACAGGAATGTCTGTGACCCTAAAGCCCCAGCGGGGGTGTTACAGTGTGCTAACAGCTCTTTTAGTCTTGCTGTCTGCAGCCCATTGAACAGGGGCATGTTAACAGCTCTGTCAATCCTGTTGCCCCATTCCAGCCCACAGCTCTGGGGTTGGCTCTGCCTTGCTGCTGCTTCCTGTCACATGGGGCGGCTGTTGTGTGCAAACAGGGGGGTGGTCTATGGTGTTACTGCCTTCTTTGTGCCCAAGTTTGGCAGGGTCCTGAGTTCCTGTCCCTTGTCCAAGAAGAATGAGATTATGGTGACAACTGGAGAATGAGAAGGGTGGAGAAGAGTTTTATTGAGTGATGAAACAGCTCTCAGCAGAGGGGGAATGTGATTGTGGTACCCCACCGAAAGTCGGGAAGTCTCTCTCCCAGTGTGGCTGGGTCCAGGGCTTTTATGGGCTCAGAATGGGGGAGTGTGTGCTGATTGGTTTGTGAGTATGCAAAAGCGTCTGAAACAAAGGCACCACTTAAAGATGGCCATGACTGTAAAAAATCAATTAGGGAAGGATACGTATATGTAAAATAGGTAAAGGGTGGGGATCAATCAGAGGAAAGCATGCCAAATGGGAAGAGAGATTCTAAATCCAGTCCATGGATTTATCTGGGACTTGTAGCTAAGCTTTAAACTGCCTTCAGCTTGAAGGTCAGGTTTCACCTGGGACCTGGCCCTGTCTTCCCAGGATTTGTCTGCCTCCTGCTGCTATCACTGACATTAATATAACCAAAGATAAAAGACTAGGTTCCACTTATGGAATATTCATGGGTGGAGAATTTTAGGATTTCTAGAGCCTGAAAGAGTTGCTAATATCTCACAGAAAGTGATTCAGAAAAAATACATTTTTATTTATATTTTTATATAAAAATTAATATTTCATAGTCAAAGCATTGAAATGCAATAGTGGTTTATAAAGCAATACTTAATAATCTCTCATTACATACATAGTTTTCTCTTCACATCCCATTTTGATTCCAAGTATCTACCTCATGAATTTTATTCAAAGTAGATTTTAAAATTAACCTCTGGAAACCATAAGCAATTTCTTATGGGAAGAGTTAATTGTTGCTAAATGGAATCTTGATTTTTCAATGTGAAATTCATATTTATTCAATAGCATTTTATCTGCTCATTCTGTTTTGTTATAACTCTTTATCACAATTTTATCTAATGACATATTTTAAAATGTGTATATTACAGATCCATCATATACTTTACTTCTGTCTGTTGCCAAACCTCTTACCAGTATATTTTAATGGTAAATCTATGAGGTTTTCATTCAGACTTTATGTGGAGGCTAACTAAAAATTACCCATGGACTGGAGCAACTGCCTCTAGTTGATAGAGCTGGATCTTGGCAGCCACTTGAATTCCAGTCAACCACTGGGCATCAACCTGAGACAACTGAATAGTGGAAATTTACCTTAATTAATAGGAAAGAGTATTGAAAATCTAATATTTGGGGCATTGGTTAAGAGTCTTTGAAAAGGAAATCACAATTTGATTTCCACTATTTTGATTTAGTAGGTGTGCAAACATTGTAATTTAGCAGCATGAGTATATCTCTCACTTCTAAGTTTATAAGAGTATTTTAAATATTATACCTAATTCAGTATTCAAACAACATAATATAAAATCAATATTGTTAGAGATTTGTGGAGATTAGATAAAATAATCCACCATTGGCTACTAAACTATAAAACTGACAGGTTAATAAGCATTAAATAAATATCAATAATGACTAATATTATTATGATATCGTATATTTCTAATCATTATTTAACTGAAGGGAAATTTTGGCAAATGTAGAATAATTGTCTTCAACTTTTACATTATGCACAATGCGAATATAATAAATTTGTTTCTATATTTTTAAATATTGTTTTACTATCAATTGCTAGTGAAAATTCTATAGTTGTTTCTAGAAAACAGAACTATACAGAAAAATTATAGGAAATATATATGTGTTATTCTGTGTAAATATATGGAAACCAACCTATTTTCCATAGCTCCCTAGTGACAAAATTAACTGCATTGTACCCTAATATTAAAACCTTCCACATAGTTCAACAAACACATATCAAATCTCAATAGAAGAGGCTAAATATTTTTGTGTGTAAATAAGTTAGTATGTGCTTGCATTTGTGTGTGTGTGACTGTGGTTAGAAAAAGGTAATTTCATAGTGGTAGTTAATTTTATCTAATAAGAATTACTCATAGAACCTACTTACTTTTAGATAGTAGGTTGTAAGCAGAAAATCAACATGCCATACTATATCTGTTTTGTTTTCCTATGTAGTAATAATATAATGGCTCCTGCTGCTCTTTTTCTTTTCAGGTTCCAAAGTTATTTTTTTTTTTTTCATTGAGACAGAGTCTTGCTCTGTCAACCAGGCTGGAGTGCAGTGGAGCAATCTCGGCTCACTGCAACCTCCACCTCCTGGGTTCAAGCGATTCTCCTGCCTCAGCCTCTCGAGTAGCTGTGACTACAGGTGAACATCCAGCCAATTTTTTTTTTTGTATTTTTACTAGAGACAGCATTTCACCATGTTGGCCAGCCAGGCTGTACTCGAACTCATGACCTCAGGTGATCTACCTGCCTTGGCCTCCCAAACTGCTGGGATTACAGACATGAGCCACTGCACCCGGCCCCAAAGGTATTTTAATATGTCACCTCATTTGATTTGCATCACGAATCTGTAGCATTAATTTATAGTAGTTTTATGCCACATGTTTGTTGTGATGTTGAAATGAGCTATTTTGCCTAAAGTTTCTTAGCATATTACACGCAAGCAAAGGAGCCATTTAGTGTTTATTCTTTTTATAATTTTATTATCCTAATCCCCATTAAGACTATTACGACTAATATTGCTCTTAATACTACCTGCGTTACTCAATCAGTAAATCCTTTAATTATCTGTGAAAATGGTAGAAATCTTCCTACCCTAAATGATTTGCCTAACATCTCATAGCAAGTTACTTAAAGTGTTCTATTTAATTTTCATATCAAATGTAGTAAATTCTCAGTAAAACTATTAATTTATAAAGAAATATTTAATAATCTTCTCTACAGATCTTTCACTTCAAAAGTTAATTTTAATCACGTGATGGTGATTTTACTTTTTACCATGAGCATGCAAACATTTAAGATCCATACTGAATTTTGGCCAGGCGTGGTGGCTCATGCCTGTAATCCTAGCACTTTGGGAGGCCAAGGCACGAAGATCACCTGAGGTCAGGAGTTCGAGACTATCCTGACCAACATGGTGAAAGCCCGTCTCTATTAAATATACAAAAATTAGCTGGGCGTGGTGGTGGGCGCCTGTAATCCCAGCCCCTCGGGATGCTGAGACAGGAGAATCACTTGAACCCAAGAGACAGAGATTGCAGTGAGCCGAGATCACACCATTGTACTCCAGCCTGGGCGACGAGAGTGAAACTCCATCTCAAAATAAATAAATAAAATAAAATAAAATAAAAGGAGTATGTAAAAACGGAGGAGAACAGAATATTCAAGAGCTCTGAGGCAATATCAAAAAATCTAACATATACGTTATCAGTGTAGTTGTAATTCCAGGAAAAGAAAAAAGGAAAAATGCAAATAAAATATTTGAAGAGACAACGGTCAAGAATTTTCCAGAAATAAAGGAAGACATTCAATCCACAAATGCAAGCAAGATACATAACTACATCTCTCTGTTTCTTTTTCTCTTATTTCCCCATATCTTTCTCTCTCTCTGCTACAAAACAGAGAGAAAAATCAAATTACATTAAGAGTAACAAATGAGCATTATTACAGACGTCTCCCCAGAAACAATGAAAATAAGAAAAAAGTAAATTGTCATTTTTGATGTATTAATACAATAAAGCTGTCAATCCAGAATTCTATGCTTATTGAACATTTTTAAATATGGAACATGAAATCAAATATACTTTTAGACAAAAATAGCTGAGAGATGTTCTTCTAGGAGAGATGCACTACAAGCAATGATAAAGGAAGTTCTTAAAGCAGAAGAAGCATGATATCAAGCAGGAATTTGAATCTACACAAAGAAATAAAAAGCTCCAGGCCAGGCGCTGTGGCTCACACCTGTAATCCCAGGACTTTGGGAGGCCAAGGCACGTGGATCACTTGAGGTCAGGAGTTCGAGACCAGCCTGGCCAACATAGTGAAATCCCATCTCTACTGAAAATACAAAAATTAGCTGGACATGGTGGAACACATCTGTAGTCCCAGCTATTCAGGAGTCTGAGGCAGGAGAATTGCATGAACCCAGGAGGCAGAGGTTGCAATGAGCCGAGATCATGCCACCGTATTCCAGCCTAAGTGGCAGACTGAGACTCCATCTCAAAAAAAAAAAAAAAAAAAAAAGGAAAGAAATAATTGAAAACCTCCAGAGAAGATAAAAATAAATATCATTATACAAAACATTATTTCTTATGTTTAATTTTACTAAAAACAACTGACTTTCTAAAGTAAAAGTAGTAACAATATATTGAGCTATACAAATAAAACAAATAAGTAATAGCACAAACAATAACAGGTAAAAACTGGATCTACATGGTACCTTTCTTACTATTAATACATATGAAGTAGAATAACATTTGAATATACACTGCGATATGCTAATTGTGTGTACTGGAAAACTTAGGAAACTAACTAAAAACATAGGTATAAACAATAAGCTAACAGTGTACTTAAAGCAGAATCATAAAGAACATTCATTTAGTCTGGGCAGAAATGGTAATAAAGAGTAAGTAACAAATGGAACAAGTAGAAAACAACTAGTAAGTTGGTAGAAGAATATCCAACTATATCAATAACTGGATTACATATAAATTGTTAAAATATCCCAATTTAAATGAAAGAAGTTTCCAGATGGGACATAGAATAAGACATAACTAATGGTTATATGGAATAATGTTCTTTTAAATATAAAGATGTAGATAGTTTAAAATTAAAAGGATGGAAACATATTTACCATAAAACCTCAAGTTAAAAAATAACTGGATTGGCCACATTAATATAAGATGAAGTAATTTTTTTGAAAAAAAAAGAATATTACCAGGGGGAAAGATGGATATTGCATAGGAATAAAAACCATCGTTTTACCCAGAAAACATAATGATCTTAAACATTTAAGCACCTACCAATGACGCTTAAAAATACATGAATGAAAAATTAATAGAATTGAAGAAGAAAAGACAAAGCCACAATTAGAGTTGAAGATCTAAAGACTCTTCCCTCAGTTACTGACAAAAACAAGTAGGAATCACATAAGTAAGGATATACAAGACCTAACAAAACCTTGTCAATGGTTCTAACCTATTTGACATTTGTAGATCAAGCTACACAATAGTACCAGAATATGCATTCTCTTTAAGTACACATGTAACATTCACAAAGATAAACCATAATATGGGCCATAAAGCAAAAAGTTACAAAAATAGAAAATATAAAAATCATGTTCAGTAATATTTTAGAATGCTTAAAAAGAAACCAATGAACAACAACAATAAAAAACTAACAATCAGAAAAAAAAACACTGACTCTACCATATACTGATGAAGATGTGGAGCAACATCATTGGTGGAATTGTGAAATGCTACATCTACTCAGGAAAAAAGTTTAACATTTCTTATAAAGTTAAATATATACTTGCTGTGAATTATATAACTCACTCCTGGATGATGAAGAGAAATAAAAATGTAAATATACAAAAATATCTGTACACGAATGTTTCTTTTATCTTTATTATAATTTCCAAAGCTTAGAGAAAAACTGAAGTTCACCAATTAGTGATTGGATTTTTAAAAATTCTGATAAATCCCTACAGTGGAATACTACTTAGCAGTGAATAGGAAGGAAGAAGTAGGTTCTGGCCAGAAGATAATCAGGTAAAAATATCTGTACATAACATGCAAGCATAAGAAGATTTTGAAATGTGGTGGTATGTGTTAGTGACCTACTTTCACTGAGACGATATCAGCAAGGCTGAGCAGAGAGCTGAGCCTTTCCTCCATGTGTCTTTAATAAGACAGTGGGAGTCAGCATTCAAATTTGGTCAGAGTGGTGTTGGTAGGGCCCATCCAATAATTGAACAGGCACAAAATCAACAGAGGACAACATAACATGAATCATATGTTGAGGCTAACTGACAACAACTTTAAATCAGCCATCACAAAAACACTTCAATGAGCAACTACTAATTTTAAAGAACTTCACGAAAAAGATGTTATAAAAAAATTGAAAATTATAGAAGTGACAAATACAGTAACCGAAATTAGAAGGAAAAAAACTCACTGAATAGGCTCATCTATCAAGTTGCTGTGTGCATCATAGTTGTTTTTGTTTATTTGTTTGTTTTATTGGTAAGTAATATTCTGTGCTATAGATGTACCACAGTTTGTTTAAATATTCATTTATTGGAGAATACTTTAGTTGTTTCCAACTTTAGATTATCATTAATACAATAAAACTGGTATAGTCATTCCTGTATAGGTTTTTCTATGAAGTTACGTTTTCTTTTTTTTGGAATAAGTGCTCAAGAGCAAAACTGCTGGGTAACATGGTGATGTCATGTTAAGTTTTGTAAGAAACTGTCATATACCTTTCCTGTTGGGAGTACCATTTGACAAGCCCACCAGCAATCTAAGAGTGCTACAATTTCTCTGCATTCTCAACAGCATTTGTTGTTATCATTGTGTTAATTTTTAAGGTATTTATGGATTATTATAATGCGCATGATCACATTGGTGTTTACATCTGTATTTCCCTGATGGCTGTTATTGCTGGACATCTTTTTATGTGCCAATTTTCTATTTTTGTATCACCTTCATTGAAATGTGTATTCATGCCTGCTGCCCATTTTCTTTCCTTTTTTGATGTTTGCAGGGTCAGGTTTTAATTAACTTGACCACAAAGCACAGGTTTCCAGGTTCATATAAATACATTTTTATTTTATAATTACTTTTTCCTTCTCTTAAACATTTTGGACAGGGTTGACAGGACAAAATCTTTCCTGTTTGAGCAAGAACTTTCTTAAAAGTACCTTGTTGTCTTTTTCTTAATAGTTGATCACATATTTATATATGCACACTCGTATGTATAGTATTTTCTATATATAGTATATATTCTCATATATATATACCATATATACTCTATACTACATATATTTCTATATATATATACTATATACTATACATACATAGTATTTTCTATATTTACTGTGTTTGTGTGTGTGTGTGTGTGTGTGTGTGTGTGTAGTATTTTCTTCCTCCTACCCACCAACCACTAGCCTTGTTGCCTCTTAAATCTCAGCAATTTTTCTACAGTTAAATCATGCTTTTAATTTTAGTATTAACACAGGTCCACTTTGTTGGTTTCTCTAAATGGTATTTTTTTCTCTTATATGTTATTACAGTCCGTTTTGGCTGCATAATTCATGGCTACACTATTTAAATATGCATGAGGGAAATAATATTTTCCTGACTCACAAAGCCCTGGTTTCCCCAGTCCAGATAAGCTATTGTTGTACTATGTTTATAGCAGACATTACCATCAGGAGAATCTGGGTGAACGGTATAAGGCATCTCTCTATTTCTCACAGTTGCCTGTAAATCTACAATTATCGTGAAAAAATAAAATTCAAGCTACTTTGGGGTATTGTTTTAGTGCTGATACTTGACAAAATAATAAAAAATAACATAAAAAGAATATAATACTGATGTATGCAACAACATTGATGACACTCAAAATTATGCTGAATGGAAGAGGCTAGATAAAATTAAGTACATAATCTGATCCCATTAATATGCAACGCTAGAATTGTAAACTAACCTGTAGAGGCAGAAGGCAGATCAGTGATTGGGAATTGGGAATTGGGAAGAAGTGGGAGGAAAAAACACAAGGTGGCAAAAAAAAAAAAAAAAAAGAAAAGAAAAGAAAACACCTGATGCAGTCATGGATAGTGTTCTTATTTGAATTGTGGTGATGTTTTCACAGGTGTATATGTGCCGACTCTAATTAATTGTATATTATAGTCAGGTATATCTGAATAAAGCTGTTTAAAAAAAACCAAAAGATGCCAGACACTAGGACCAAAGTGTGAAGTATTTGAAGAAAAAAAGTCTTCTACCTTTGACCTAATTAGTGTATTTAAAACCAAATGGGGAATGCTTTTTAATGCCCCCTACTCATTAGAACACATTTTCAGTGATAACCATAAATTAAAACAAGAAATAATAAGGATTAATAAAGAAATATGGTGTGTTTCCAGTGAGCATTACATATATGTATATACACACATATATATGTATATATACACATATATATACATATATGTATGTATATACACACACACGTGTATGTATACATATATGTATGTATATACACACACACGTGTATGTATACATATATGTATGTATATACACACACACGTGTATGTATACATATATGTATGTATATACACACACACGTGTATGTATACATATATGTATGTATATACACACACACGTGTATGTATACATATATGTATGTATATACACACACACGTGTATGTATACATATATGTATGTATATACACACACACGTGTATGTATACATATATGTATGTATATACACACACACGTGTATGTATACATATATGTATGTATATACACACACACGTGTATGTATACATATATGTATGTATATACACACACGTGTATGTATACATATATGTATGTATATACACACACGTGTATGTATACATATATGTATGTATATACACACACACGTGTATGTATACATATATGTATGTATATACACACACACGTGTATGTATACATATATACATGTATATGTATACATACGTGTATGTATACATATATACATGTATATGTATACATATATACATATATACATGTATATGTATACATATATACATGTATACATATATACATGTATATGTATACATATATACATGTATACATATATACATGTATATGTATACATATATACATGTATACATATATACACATAATATATATGTATATATACACATAAATACACATATATGTATGTGTATATACACATACATGTATGTGTATATACACATACATGTATGTATATACACACATATATATGTATGTATATACACATATATATGTGTATATACATACATATACATGTGTGTATATCAGGTAAAGATAATCAGGTAAAAATATCTGTACATAACATGCAAGCATAAGAAGATTTTGAAATGTAGAAAGAAGAATGTGGCAGAATACAAAGGGGACTTTGAGACTTCAGGAACTACATGGCACTTATTTCCATGAGTTTTCTAATTAGCTTTCATATGTCTTAAAAGAGTACTACAGCAGTCTCCAGTCTGGTACCAGCAACAGGCACAGGCTAAAAGAAAAATCTTGACGAAAAACCTATTTGCCTTAACCAGAAGACCAGAAAAAGGATGGCCCAACATAGCAGAAAACATTTTGCAACACCCATCCTATTCCCACCAAACACCAGAGAAAAAGCTTCTCTTCCAGACACACAATTTCAGTGAGGCCAAGAAGGCAGCTAATCTTGCACACAGCCCTGGACCCCACCAATATAGTCTGGATATTTGTTCCACCCAAATATCATGTTGGGATGTAATCCCAAGTGTTGGAGGTGGGGCCAAGTAGGAGCGTGTGAGTCATGGGGCCAGATTCCTCATGGTTGGATGCTATCCTCTTGATAGCGAGTGAGTTTGCATGAGATCCGATAGTTTAAAAGTATGCAGCACCTCCCACCTCCTCTCTTGCTCCTGCTTTCACCATGTGATGTGCCTGCTCCTGCTTCACCTTTTATCGTTAGTAAAACCTTCCTGAGGCCTCCCCAGAAGCCAAACAGGTGTCAGCACCATGCTTCCTGTACAGCCTGCAGAATCATAAACCAATCAAACCTCTTTTTAAAATAAATTACCCACCCTCAGGTATTTCTTCATAGCAATGCAAGAATGGCCCAATATACATCCCAAATCAAGATGTGACATTTTTGTCTTGATAGTGTTACTGAAACCCAGGGGCAGTAGATCTTGCATTTCCTGGCTGGTAGAAGTGGGTTCTACCACAATTCTCCCAACGACAGAGTTGTGTATGTAATGGCAATAGTACTCAGAGGCTAGATGAGCTTCTAAACTCACATAGTAGCAATCAGACTTCATGAAGCTGTGCAAGGCAGTGTTATTCACCACTATACTTCACCACCACTCATTTCTGTTAGTGGGGACTAGCGGAGAGCTGAGCTTCTACTCCCACCACACGTCAATGAAACTGAACAAAACAGTTGACTTGTTCGCTTTCTAATCATCCCTGGTGTTAGTGGAACCCACTGGGGAGCTGAACTGCTGTACCTGCCTGATATCAGTGAGGTCAGAATGGGGTGTTAAAAGGTGGGGTTTATTAGCACTCCACTTTCTTCCTTCCCCTCCCTTGGTGTCAGCTGTGTTCACTAGAGTGTTTAGCTTCCACACCCAAAAAGCAGCAACAAAGCAATGAGAGTCAGCCCTTTACTTATCTCCTTCTTGGGGACAGAAGGACACATCAGGGAGCTGACCTTACATTCCTATTTGGAGGCAAGGTGGTGGTATGTGTTAGTGACCTACTTTCACTGAGATGATATCAGCAAGGCTGAGCAGAGAGCTGAGCCTTTCCTCCATGTGTCTTTAATAAGACAGTGGGAGTCAGCATTCGAATTTGGTCAGAGTGGTGTTGGTAGGGCCCATCCAATAATTGAACAGGCACAAAATCAACAGAGGACAACATAACATGAATCATATGTTGAGGCTAACTGACAACTTTAAATCAGCTGTTACAAAAATACCTCAACAAACAGCTACTAATTTTAAAGAACTCCACAAAAAGATGTTATAAAAAACAAATGAAAATTATAGAAGTGAAAAATACCATAACTGAAATTAGAAAAAAAAAAATAAAAACCTCACTGAATGGGCTCATCCAGAGTCAAGATGACAAGGAAAGGATCAGTGAACTTGAGGACAGATCAATAGTATTTACCCAATCGGAGAAACAGAAAGAAAACAAATTGAAAACAAAAATGAAAAGCTACTCAGCACCCTGTGGGATAACAAAAAAAAACGAAATTTATATCATCAGTATCTCAAAAAGAGATCAGAGACAAAGTGGAACCAAAAAAGTGTTTAAAGAAATAATGCATATATCCTCTCAAATGTACAGGGACACATAAACCTACAGATTCAGGAGCCTGGGAGAAGTCCAAATAGAACAAACGCACACAAAAACATGCCAAGACATATCATAGTTTACGGTTTCAAATCTATAGACAAATAAAAAATCTTCAGAGCAGCCAGAGACAAAAGACACATTATTATGGGAACCCAGACATTTGAATGACAATGAATTTCTCTTCTAAAACTCTGAAGGCCAGTTTGAAGTGGAACTGGGCATTTCAGGTGTTGTAAAAATTGCCAAGTAGAAATTCTGTTTCCAGCAAAAATATTCTTCTAGAATAAAGGGGAATATAAGATATTGTCAGATGAGGAAAAACTATATGTTTTTGCTAGCAAATGCATTCTTAAAGATTGGCTAAAGGAAGATCTATAAAATAGAAAATGATAAAAGAAGGCTGGGAACTTCAAAAAGAAAAAACATCAGCATAAATTAAAATGGGCATAAATATCATATAATATCCTTGCCTTTGAGAGTTTCTTTAGTTATATTTTATGGTGAAGCAAAAATTAAAACAATATTTCACATATTGCTCAATGTATATAAAGACTTCATATGATTATATTTTTAATGTTGGAGGATAAACAGATGTAAATCAAGTAAGGATTTTACACTTCACTCAAAGTGGTAAAATGTTGATACCTGTAGACTGTGATTAACTACATATTGTAATATCTAGTGTAACAACTAAGAAAACTATACAATGTGCTATACTCAAAAACACTGTAAGTCAGTCAAGATACAACTCTAAAAAAAATCAGGTAAGTCTCAGGAAGGTATGCAAAGAAAAATGGAAGAATGACAAGCAGGAAACATAAACAGAAAGCAAATAAATAAAATGACACAATTTAGCTTTACTATCAATATAAATAATTACCTTAAAAGTAAATAGTCTTTGTATAGTAATTAAAATACATAAACAGTGTGGATGAAAAATGATTCAACAATATGCTGTCTGGCCTAACACGTTAGCTCATGCCTGTAATTCCAGCACTTTGGGAGGCCAAGGCAGGCGGATCACTTGAGGTCAAGAGTTCAAGACCAGCCTGGCCAGCATGGTGAAACTCATCTCTACTAAAAATACAAAAATTAACCAGGCGTGGTGGTGGGTGCCTGTAGTCTCAGCTATTTGAGAGGCTGAGGCAGGAGAATTGCTTGAACCCAGGAGGCGAAGGCTGCAGTGAGCTGAGATTGGGCCACTGCACTCCAGCCTGGGCAAAAGAATCTCACGTCTGTCTCAAAGAAAAAAAAAAAATATGTATGCTGTCAAAAATAAACACACTATGTGACATTGATAGAATGAAAGTAAAATAATGGAAAATATATGCCTTGAATATATTAATTTTAAAAAGCAAGAGTGACTAGCAATTGGATAAGAAGAAGAAAGGAAAGGTATCCAAATAGGAAAGGAAAAAGTAAGAGTATCTTTCTTCTAAGACTACACGATCTTGTATATGGAGAACATTAAAAATGCCACACAAAAACTCTTCTGGAATGAATCAACAAATTCAGTGAAGTTGCAGAACATAAAATCAGCTTGAAAAAATTAGGTGCATTTCTCTATGTCAATAATCAACAATAAGAAAAAGAAATTAAGGAAACAATTCCATTTCATAATAGCATGAAAAAAATACTTAGAAATAAACTTCACCAAGGAGGCAAAATACTTTTACACTGAAAACTGCAAAATATTGACCCCCCAAATTAAGGAAGACACAAATAAATGGAAAGACATTCATGTTCATGAGTTGAATAATTAATGTTGTTAAGCTGGAAATGCCAGCAAAAGAGATCTACAAATTTAATGTAATTCCTATCAAATTTTCCAATGATTTTTTAAATACCAAATTTATTCTAAAATTTATATGGAATCTAAAGGGATCCTTAATAGTCAGACCAATTTTGAGAAAAACAAAGCTGGAGACGTCACACTTCCTCATGTTAAAACTTATTACAGAGTTACAGTAATTTAACAGTGTGGTATTGGCATAAAGGAAGTCTTATAGACCAGTGAAATGGAATAGAAAGGCCAGAAATAAACTTTCATATATATGGTCAAGTTATTTTTGACAAGGGTGCTAAGACCTCTTAATGGGGAAAGACAGTCTTTTCAATAAATGATGTTGAGAAAGTTGGATATTCACATGCAAAAGAATGAAGTTGGACCCTTACTATATAAAAAAATCAATTGAAAATTGATGAAAGACTTAAATGTATGTGCTAAAACTGTAAGCCCCTTAGAAGAAAAGCTTCATGTTATTAGATATGAATTTTTTTGCTATTCCACAAAAATAAAGGACAACAAAAAAATAGATAAATTTGAGTGTATGACAATTAAGAACCTTAAGTGCATCAAGGAATGCAATCAACAGAGCCAAAGACAACCTGCTGTATAGGGGAAAAATTTGCAAAGCATATAACTGATGAGGGGTTAATATCCGGAATATGAAAAGAACTCCAACTTAACGATGAAATACAACCTAACTTAAAAACAGGCAAAGGAATTAAATAGACATTTCCGGAAAGAAAATATACAAACAACCAACAAACACATTAAAAGATTCTGAACAGTACCAATTATTAAGTAAATACAAATAAAAATCACAATGAGATACCACTTTATAACCATTAGGATTGCTACTATCAAAGTAACAGAAAATTAAAAGTGCTGACAAAGAAGTAGAAAAACCGGAACCTTTTGCGCATTGTTGGTAGTAATGTCAAATGGTGTGGCAACTATGAAAAATGGTATGGTAGTTCCTCAAAAAGTAAAAATAGAATTCTCACATGAGCCAGCAATTCCTCTTCTGGGTATATACTCAACACAATTAAAAGCAGAGTCTTGAAGATATATCAGTACACCCATGTTCATAGCAACCTTACTCACAATAGGCAAAAAGGAGAAGCAACCCAAGGGTTCATCAATAGATCGGCAAATTGAAGTATATACATACAATAAAATATTATTAAGCCTTTTCAAAGAATAAAATTCTGGCATTATACATAAATGAACCTTGAGAGCATTATGCTAGATAAAATAAGCCAGTCATAAAAAGACACATACTGTAAAATTATAATTATATGAGGTAGCTAGAGTAGTTAAATTCAAAGAGGCAAAAAGTAGAATGGTTTTTGTCAGGGTCTAGAAGAGGAGGAAGTGAGGAGTTGTGCAATGGGTATAGAGTTTCAGTTTTGCAATGTGACAATAGTTCTTGGATTCGTTGTGTGAATATACTTAACACAACTGAACTGTACAATATTGTACAATAAAAATTGGTTCAGATAGAAATTTGATGTTAGGTGTATTTTACCACGATTAAAAATAGAAAGTAGGAATAGTTATATTAATGTGGTATAAAGTAGAGATCACAGCAAGGACAGTAAATAAAGGCAAAGAAGGACTTTACATGATTATGCAAGTATCAATCCACCACAAATATATACCTATACTGACTGTGTATCAACGAAACAATAGCGCTTTCAAATACATGAAGCAAAAACTAATAGAGATGAATGAAGAAATAGACTTATTTACAATTATAGTTGGATTTAAACACTCAGCAACTGACAGAACTTCTAGACATAATATCCTCAATAATAGAATAACTGAATAATGCAACAATCAACAGTATCTAATTGACACATATAGAATAGTTCATTAAACAACAGCAGAATATATATTTATTGCATGTGTCCACAGAACGTGTACCAAGATAGACCATGTGATGGACTACAAAACAAACCTTACCAAACTTAAAATAATTGAAATTGTTGATAAATAATTAAAAGAATTGAAATGTGTTGTGTAGACAACACATTGTATGACCAAAATGGAATCAAAGGAGCAACTATAACAAAATACAAAAAAACTAAACAATTGGAAATTAAATTATGCATTTCTAAATAATTCATAATAATTCATGGGTGAAGAAGTAGTCTCAAGGGAAATAAAAAAATATGTGAACTAAATAAAAATGAAAATATACATGTTAAAACATGTGGAATACAGCTAACATTATACTGAGAGAGAAATTTATACCATTAAATGCTTACATTAGAAACAAGGAAATGTCTGAAATTAGAGACCTAATTTCTTACCTAAAGAATATAGAAAGGAAGAGAAAAATAAACCCAAAGCAAACAGAAGGAAGTAAATCATAACGATAAAAACAAAAATCAATGAAATTAAAAGCAGGAATAAAATAGGAAAATCAATTAAACAGAAAGCTATTTCTTTAAAACCGTCAACAAAATTGATAAAACTTAAGCACAACTGACAGCTTAAAAAAAAGAAGACAACAAATAAACAATATCAGGGACGAAAAAGGACATAGCATTACAGATTTTTCAGGCATTAAATGGATAAGAGAATACTGTGAACAACCGTATGCTCATAAATTCAAAAATATAGAAAAAATTGATCAATTCGTTAGAAAAACACAAACTACCAAAAATAAATTTAATAAAATTATATAGGTGATATAATTAGTCCTGCAACTAACAAAGAGAATGAATTTGTAATTTAATAAGTCTCTTGTCTGTCACCATGTGAGATGTGCCTTTCAACTTGCGCCATAATTGTGAGGCACCCAGCCATGTGGAACTGTAAGCTTATTAAACCGCTTTATTTTCTAAATTTCTCAGTCTTGGGTGTGTCTTCATGAGCAGCATGAAAATGGACCAATACAGTAAACTGGTACCAGAGACACCCTGATTTTTCAGTTCCAACCTTTAGAGCTGTGATAAATAAATGTCTATTGTTTAAGCTACCCAGTCTATAGGATTCTTTTATAGCAGCCTGAAATGACTAAGACAATTATATATGTCTATTACCTAGAAATTCTGTTCCTGAACATACACCTTAAAGAAATATAGGCAGAATTCCACAAAGGGTCATGAGCTACTAACGAGGCTCATAGCAGCATCATTAGTAGCAGTAAGGAACAGCATCAACATAGGTTACACTTAAAGGGGGAAGAAAATGAACAAGCACGATGCAACATTAAAAGCAATGAACAAGAGATGCATATAGCAGCTTAAGTCAAATGTTACACTTTCACACATGCACGTATTTAACAAAGCCATATGTTTAACAAGAATAAAAACATAGGAAAGCAAATCATTCAAACACATCAGGTGTGTCACATGCAGGTGTCTTTTGGTGGGAAAGAAATTAGTAAGAGAAACTAGGAAGGTAGAAAGAAAAATCCAATAAAATAGAGAAATAACCTTTCAAAAATCAATAATGATAATGTGGTCAGAGCCCAAGAATAGGATAAAAGTAAAGATAAAAGCAACCTTCATAAATAGACAGTTAATTCTAATCCCTTTCTATCAATTGCAGGGCTAGCAGAAATTAATGAAAATAAGCTGCCTTTAATGCCAAATGTGATAGGTAGAAAGATGTTTATTTGTGGGAACTGTCTTTTGTTTGTAGAATTACTCACCTCTCCACTGACATTGAAAGACAGCCATATTGTTTTTAGTGGGATTTTAGGTAAAATATCAAAAATAACAGCTAATGACTTAGGGAGGGAGACTTCAGAATAAACCAATGAGTAGGTGTGGCCTTGGGGAATAGATTAAAGGAAACTGTCTGCTATGTGGGCCACCACAATTGAACATGGGTATATGAGGAGGGGTGGTAGTTCATGATGGGAAGGCATAGAAGAGGCTGTCATAGAGAAGCCTCTTTTCTACCACCAGGCTATCCTTGCCTTTATATCACCCCCCCACCATCCAAAACAGAGGTGGCAGGAGTGGTACATTCTGATGACTAAGACTCCCCAGGTACCTCCCCACCCCTCTCTCACATAGAAGTGACAAGAGTAGTGCTTTGTGACGTCTTAGTGTCCCTTAGCTCTCATTGGCTGGGCGAGTGCCTTGCTGACCAATCAAAGTTGAAGGGTGTGGCCCCTCATTGTGCTGGGAGGGGTATACATAGGATGATCAGGAGCTGTGAGCAGACCACTGGGACAATTCAGTATGGCAAAGGTGACCAGTGAGCCACAGAAGCCTAATGAAGATGTGGACGAACAGACCCCATCAACCTCAAGTACCAAAGGGAGGAAGAAGGGGAAGACACCCCGTCAACGAAGGTCCAGAAGCGGCGTTAAGGTGAGATGATCCCGACCAAACCCCTTCTCTTTGCCCCACTGATTCCGCCACCCCAAGACTCCTATCCTTTCCTTGCCTCACTCAAACCCCCTCCTCAACTCACACCCTTCTCATGAAGCCTATTCCTATGCATTTCCCACCTTCTTTCCCAAAACCAACGCCCTCTGGCCTGACTGTGATCTCCCTGTAGGGCCTAAAGACCACCAGGAAGGCGAAAAGACCCCTTCGAGGGAGCTCGAGCCAAAAAGCCGGTGAAACTAACACCCCTGCAGGAAAACCTAAGAAAGCTAGAGGACCAATACTGCGTGGTCGTTATCACCGGCTGAAAGAAAAAATGAAGAAAGAAGAGGCCGACAAAGAGCAAAGCGAGACCTCAGTTCTGTGATGTCTCTAGAGGTCCGCCACTGAAAAGTCATCAATCATACAGTCAGTGAATTCTACACCAACAGGTTAAAACCATGAAAATAAAATCAACCTGAATCGAAAGGATATGTCTCTGTGACTTCTCTGATGGTGAGGAAGGAAGGAGTGAGGGGAAGAGGGAGGTGTGTGTGAGAAGGCAGGGAGGTGGCTTCTGTGGGGTTTGAGGCCAGACCAACAGGTCCACAGCTGGAAACTGGGGGGATAAGGACTGGCTCAGGACTAAGCACTGAAGATAAATTTCCTGAACACTTTTTAATACACAAAGAGTGAAAGGGGTTGGTGTTTCTACCTGTGTGTGTTTTGGTGGGGAAAGAGGGATGTGACTTCAGTGTATTGATTGTCAGAACCTGTATGGGGTGAGGTGTGTGGGTGGCAGTACTATCCCCAAAAACAGACAAGAGATAACCTGCAGGCCATCTACCTCATAATGGTAGGTATGAGGTACACCCCACCCTATGATATAAGCAACTAAATGCCCTTCAAAGGGCCAAATATCTCTAAAAGTTACCAGCAGCACCTGAAATAATGGTTACTAGATGCCACAAATCCAACACTGACTAGCCCACCTTCTTAAAAAGCTTAGGGCGGGGCAGGGCAATGGGAGTGGTCTACCTCTAGTGCGGGCAGTGAATGAGAGCATTGTCTACAGAGAATTTTAAAACAAGATAGCTCTCTCTCTCCGTCTTTTATTTTTATTTTTCCAAAGTTGTTTTTATCCCTAAAGAGAATATCATTTTTCAACAGCTTTACTGAAGTATAATTGACATATGACAAACTGCACATGCTTAAAAAGTATACAGTTTGATGAGTTTTGTCACATCTGCTCTTGTTAAACCATCACAACTATAAGAGTGAACATACCCATTACCCCCTAAAGTTTTCTCATGCCGTTTGGCAATTCTTCCCTGTCCCTACCTCCACCATCATTCTCAAAAAAACCCGCTGATTTGCTTTCTGTCACTATCTGTTTCTATTTTCTGGAGGTTTGTAAGAATGGAATCATAAGATATGTACTCTTTATTTTTTTCTAGTCCAGCTTCTTAGAACAACTATCTTTCCTTCCCAAAGATATTTTGTTTTGTTGGTCTGCTTTTTAAAAGATTGCTGTGGTCAATACGTTTTAATCATGTGTCTACGGGAGTGGTCTTAAAACAGCACAATTTCTCATTATATTTTAATGAATACTTATTGTATTCTACAAGGAAATTCATGCAGATAATTTCCTGTTATACCATTGGCCTCAGGTATCACCTGACTCAGTTGTTGCTGTTTCTTTCTAAAGCAAGCTCCTAAGGATGTGGTATTTCTTGCAGTGCACTTTGGGCCATAAGCCATGGTCCTGTATGACACACATACACCAGCATTTAAACAATATTTCTAAAACAATAATAGTACAGTCATTGATTTTAAAATAAAGGAATAAATAATCTGAGTTTTTCCTGTGCTGTCATTCCATGTGACCACTTGTTTGGATGATGCCTAAGTTAATAAAACAAAGTATGAATGGCAAGGTATAAATGTTTGAGAAGTTCAAATCTTTACTTCATTTCAACAAAAAATACTTTGTAAAATTGAACTATATCTCTAAAAGTAAAATTTATTCTTCTTTAATTGTTTAATAGTTATTTTAGAACTACAGACCAATTCAAGGAAATCAAATGTTACATATGTGGATAATTTATTAATTGACTAATTTGTCCCTTCTGCATAATTTTTGGTTTTCTTAAAGTACCATTTTATATGTTACTTTATATATGTGTATATACACATATATATGTATATATATACACATATATACACGTGTATATATGTATGTACACATATATGTATATACACACATATATACACACATATATGTACACATATATGTGTACATATGTGTGTGTATATATGTGTGTATATACATATATGTGTATATACGTATATACACATGTGTATATACGTATATACACACATATATGTGTACATATATGTGTGTATATATGTGTGTATATACATATATGTGTACATACATATATACACGTGTATATATGTGTATATATATACATATATATGTGTATATACACATATATAAAGTAACATATAAAATGGTACTTTAAGAAAACCAAAAATTATGCAGAAGGGACAAATTAGTCAATTAATAAATTATCCACATATGTAACATTTGATTTCCTTGAATTGGTCTGTAGTTCTAAAATAACTATTAAACAATTAAAGAAGAATAAATTTTACTTTTAGAGATATAGTTCAATTTTACAAAGTATTTTTTGTTGAAATGAAGTAAAGATTTGAACTTCTCAAACATTTATACCTTGCCATTCATACTTTGTTTTATTAACTTAGGCATCATCCAAACAAGTGGTCACATGGAATGACAGCACAGGAAAAACTCAGATTATTTATTCCTTTATTTTAAAATCAATGACTGTACTATTATTGTTTTAGAAATATTGTTTAAATGCTGGTGTATGTGTGTCATACAGGACCATGGCTTATGGCCCAAAGTGCACTGCAAGAAATACCACATCCTTAGGAGCTTGCTTTAGAAAGAAACAGCAACAACTGAGTCAGGTGATACCTGAGGCCAATGGTATAACAGGAAATTATCTGCATGAATTTCCTTGTAGAATACAATAAGTATTCATTAAAATATAATGAGAAATTGTGCTGTTTTAAGACCACTCCCGTAGACACATGATTAAAACGTATTGACCACAGCAATCTTTTAAAAAGCAGACCAACAAAACAAAATATCTTTGGGAAGGAAAGATAGTTGTTCTAAGAAGCTGGACTAGAAAAAAATAAAGAGTACATATCTTATGATTCCATTCTTACAAACCTCCAGAAAATAGAAACAGATAGTGACAGAAAGCAAATCAGCGGGTTTTTTTGAGAATGATGGTGGAGGTAGGGACAGGGAAGAATTGCCAAACGGCATGAGAAAACTTTAGGGGGTAATGGGTATGTTCACTCTTATAGTTGTGATGGTTTAACAAGAGCAGATGTGACAAAACTCATCAAACTGTATACTTTTTAAGCATGTGCAGTTTGTCATATGTCAATTATACTTCAGTAAAGCTGTTGAAAAATGATATTCTCTTTAGGGATAAAAACAACTTTGGAAAAATAAAAATAAAAGACGGAGAGAGAGAGCTATCTTGTTTTAAAATTCTCTGTAGACAATGCTCTCATTCACTGCCCGCACTAGAGGTAGACCACTCCCATTGCCCTGCCCCGCCCTAAGCTTTTTAAGAAGGTGGGCTAGTCAGTGTTGGATTTGTGGCATCTAGTAACCATTATTTCAGGTGCTGCTGGTAACTTTTAGAGATATTTGGCCCTTTGAAGGGCATTTAGTTGCTTATATCATAGGGTGGGGTGTACCTCATACCTACCATTATGAGGTAGATGGCCTGCAGGTTATCTCTTGTCTGTTTTTGGGGATAGTACTGCCACCCACACACCTCACCCCATACAGGTTCTGACAATCAATACACTGAAGTCACATCCCTCTTTCCCCACCAAAACACACACAGGTAGAAACACCAACCCCTTTCACTCTTTGTGTATTAAAAAGTGTTCAGGAAATTTATCTTCAGTGCTTAGTCCTGAGCCAGTCCTTATCCCCCCAGTTTCCAGCTGTGGACCTGTTGGTCTGGCCTCAAACCCCACAGAAGCCACCTCCCTGCCTTCTCACACACACCTCCCTCTTCCCCTCACTCCTTCCTTCCTCACCATCAGAGAAGTCACAGAGACATATCCTTTCGATTCAGGTTGATTTTATTTTCATGGTTTTAACCTGTTGGTGTAGAATTCACTGACTGTATGATTGATGACTTTTCAGTGGCGGACCTCTAGAGACATCACAGAACTGAGGTCTCGCTTTGCTCTTTGTCGGCCTCTTCTTTCTTCATTTTTTCTTTCAGCCGGTGATAACGACCACGCAGTATTGGTCCTCTAGCTTTCTTAGGTTTTCCTGCAGGGGTGTTAGTTTCACCGGCTTTTTGGCTCGAGCTCCCTCGAAGGGGTCTTTTCGCCTTCCTGGTGGTCTTTAGGCCCTACAGGGAGATCACAGTCAGGCCAGAGGGCGTTGGTTTTGGGAAAGAAGGTGGGAAATGCATAGGAATAGGCTTCATGAGAAGGGTGTGAGTTGAGGAGGGGGTTTGAGTGAGGCAAGGAAAGGATAGGAGTCTTGGGGTGGCGGAATCAGTGGGGCAAAGAGAAGGGGTTTGGTCGGGATCATCTCACCTTAACGCCGCTTCTGGACCTTCGTTGACGGGGTGTCTTCCCCTTCTTCCTCCCTTTGGTACTTGAGGTTGATGGGGTCTGTTCGTCCACATCTTCATTAGGCTTCTGTGGCTCACTGGTCACCTTTGCCATACTGAATTGTCCCAGTGGTCTGCTCACAGCTCCTGATCATCCTATGTATACCCCTCCCAGCACAATGAGGGGCCACACCCTTCAACTTTGATTGGTCAGCAAGGCACTCGCCCAGCCAATGAGAGCTAAGGGACACTAAGACGTCACAAAGCACTACTCTTGTCACTTCTATGTGAGAGAGGGGTGGGGAGGTACCTGGGGAGTCTTAGTCATCAGAATGTACCACTCCTGCCACCTCTGTTTTGGATGGTGGGGGGGTGATATAAAGGCAAGGATAGCCTGGTGGTAGAAAAGAGGCTTCTCTATGACAGCCTCTTCTATGCCTTCCCATCATGAACTACCACCCCTCCTCATATACCCATGTTCAATTGTGGTGGCCCACATAGCAGACAGTTTCCTTTAATCTATTCCCCAAGGCCACACCTACTCATTGGTTTATTCTGAAGTCTCCCTCCCTAAGTCATTAGCTGTTATTTTTGATATTTTACCTAAAATCCCACTAAAAACAATATGGCTGTCTTTCAATGTCAGTGGAGAGGTGAGTAATTCTACAAACAAAAGACAGTTCCCACAAATAAACATCTTTCTACCTATCACATTTGGCATTAAAGGCAGCTTATTTTCATTAATTTCTGCTAGCCCTGCAATTGATAGAAAGGGATTAGAATTAACTGTCTATTTATGAAGGTTGCTTTTATCTTTACTTTTATCCTATTCTTGGGCTCTGACCACATTATCATTATTGATTTTTGAAAGGTTATTTCTCTATTTTATTGGATTTTTCTTTCTACCTTCCTAGTTTCTCTTACTAATTTCTTTCCCACCAAAAGACACCTGCATGTGACACACCTGATGTGTTTGAATGATTTGCTTTCCTATGTTTTTATTCTTGTTAAACATATGGCTTTGTTAAATACGTGCATGTGTGAAAGTGTAACATTTGACTTAAGCTGCTATATGCATCTCTTGTTCATTGCTTTTAATGTTGCATCGTGCTTGTTCATTTTCTTCCCCCTTTAAGTGTAACCTATGTTGATGCTGTTCCTTACTGCTACTAATGATGCTGCTATGAGCCTCGTTAGTAGCTCATGACCCTTTGTGGAATTCTGCCTATATTTCTTTAAGGTGTATGTTCAGGAACAGAATTTCTAGGTAATAGACATATATAATTGTCTTAGTCATTTCAGGCTGCTATAAAAGAATCCTATAGACTGGGTAGCTTAAACAATAGACATTTATTTATCACAGCTCTAAAGGTTGGAACTGAAAAATCAGGGTGTCTCTGGTACCAGTTTACTGTATTGGTCCATTTTCATGCTGCTCATGAAGACACACCCAAGACTGAGAAATTTAGAAAATAAAGCGGTTTAATAAGCTTACAGTTCCACATGGCTGGGTGCCTCACAATTATGGCGCAAGTTGAAAGGCACATCTCACATGGTGACAGACAAGAGACTTATTAAATTACAAATTCATTCTCTTTGTTAGTTGCAGGACTAATTATATCACCTATATAATTTTATTAAATTTATTTTTGGTAGTTTGTGTTTTTCTAACGAATTGATCAATTTTTTCTATATTTTTGAATTTATGAGCATACGGTTGTTCACAGTATTCTCTTATCCATTTAATGCCTGAAAAATCTGTAATGCTATGTCCTTTTTCGTCCCTGATATTGTTTATTTGTTGTCTTCTTTTTTTTAAGCTGTCAGTTGTGCTTAAGTTTTATCAATTTTGTTGACGGTTTTAAAGAAATAGCTTTCTGTTTAATTGATTTTCCTATTTTATTCCTGCTTTTAATTTCATTGATTTTTGTTTTTATCGTTATGATTTACTTCCTTCTGTTTGCTTTGGGTTTATTTTTCTCTTCCTTTCTATATTCTTTAGGTAAGAAATTAGGTCTCTAATTTCAGACATTTCCTTGTTTCTAATGTAAGCATTTAATGGTATAAATTTCTCTCTCAGTATAATGTTAGCTGTATTCCACATGTTTTAACATGTATATTTTCATTTTTATTTAGTTCACATATTTTTTTATTTCCCTTGAGACTACTTCTTCACCCATGAATTATTATGAATTATTTAGAAATGCATAATTTAATTTCCAATTGTTTAGTTTTTTTGTATTTTGTTATAGTTGCTCCTTTGATTCCATTTTGGTCATACAATGTGTTGTCTACACAACACATTTCAATTCTTTTAATTATTTATCAACAATTTCAATTATTTTAAGTTTGGTAAGGTTTGTTTTGTAGTCCATCACATGGTCTATCTTGGTACACGTTCTGTGGACACATGCAATAAATATATATTCTGCTGTTGTTTAATGAACTATTCTATATGTGTCAATTAGATACTGTTGATTGTTGCATTATTCAGTTATTCTATTATTGAGGATATTATGTCTAGAAGTTCTGTCAGTTGCTGAGTGTTTAAATCCAACTATAATTGTAAATAAGTCTATTTCTTCATTCATCTCTATTAGTTTTTGCTTCATGTATTTGAAAGCGCTATTGTTTCGTTGATACACAGTCAGTATAGGTATATATTTGTGGTGGATTGATACTTGCATAATCATGTAAAGTCCTTCTTTGCCTTTATTTACTGTCCTTGCTGTGATCTCTACTTTATACCACATTAATATAACTATTCCTACTTTCTATTTTTAATCGTGGTAAAATACACCTAACATCAAATTTCTATCTGAACCAATTTTTATTGTACAATATTGTACAGTTCAGTTGTGTTAAGTATATTCACACAACGAATCCAAGAACTATTGTCACATTGCAAAACTGAAACTCTATACCCATTGCACAACTCCTCACTTCCTCCTCTTCTAGACCCTGACAAAAACCATTCTACTTTTTGCCTCTTTGAATTTAACTACTCTAGCTACCTCATATAATTATAATTTTACAGTATGTGTCTTTTTATGACTGGCTTATTTTATCTAGCATAATGCTCTCAAGGTTCATTTATGTATAATGCCAGAATTTTATTCTTTGAAAAGGCTTAATAATATTTTATTGTATGTATATACTTCAATTTGCCGATCTATTGATGAACCCTTGGGTTGCTTCTCCTTTTTGCCTATTGTGAGTAAGGTTGCTATGAACATGGGTGTACTGATATATCTTCAAGACTCTGCTTTTAATTGTGTTGAGTATATACCCAGAAGAGGAATTGCTGGCTCATGTGAGAATTCTATTTTTACTTTTTGAGGAACTACCATACCATTTTTCATAGTTGCCACACCATTTGACATTACTACCAACAATGCGCAAAAGGTTCCGGTTTTTCTACTTCTTTGTCAGCACTTTTAATTTTCTGTTACTTTGATAGTAGCAATCCTAATGGTTATAAAGTGGTATCTCATTGTGATTTTTATTTGTATTTACTTAATAATTGGTACTGTTCAGAATCTTTTAATGTGTTTGTTGGTTGTTTGTATATTTTCTTTCCGGAAATGTCTATTTAATTCCTTTGCCTGTTTTTAAGTTAGGTTGTATTTCATCGTTAAGTTGGAGTTCTTTTCATATTCCGGATATTAACCCCTCATCAGTTATATGCTTTGCAAATTTTTCCCCTATACAGCAGGTTGTCTTTGGCTCTGTTGATTGCATTCCTTGATGCACTTAAGGTTCTTAATTGTCATACACTCAAATTTATCTATTTTTTTGTTGTCCTTTATTTTTGTGGAATAGCAAAAAAATTCATATCTAATAACATGAAGCTTTTCTTCTAAGGGGCTTACAGTTTTAGCACATACATTTAAGTCTTTCATCAATTTTCAATTGATTTTTTTATATAGTAAGGGTCCAACTTCATTCTTTTGCATGTGAATATCCAACTTTCTCAACATCATTTATTGAAAAGACTGTCTTTCCCCATTAAGAGGTCTTAGCACCCTTGTCAAAAATAACTTGACCATATATATGAAAGTTTATTTCTGGCCTTTCTATTCCATTTCACTGGTCTATAAGACTTCCTTTATGCCAATACCACACTGTTAAATTACTGTAACTCTGTAATAAGTTTTAACATGAGGAAGTGTGACGTCTCCAGCTTTGTTTTTCTCAAAATTGGTCTGACTATTAAGGATCCCTTTAGATTCCATATAAATTTTAGAATAAATTTGGTATTTAAAAAATCATTGGAAAATTTGATAGGAATTACATTAAATTTGTAGATCTCTTTTGCTGGCATTTCCAGCTTAACAACATTAATTATTCAACTCATGAACATGAATGTCTTTCCATTTATTTGTGTCTTCCTTAATTTGGGGGGTCAATATTTTGCAGTTTTCAGTGTAAAAGTATTTTGCCTCCTTGGTGAAGTTTATTTCTAAGTATTTTTTTCATGCTATTATGAAATGGAATTGTTTCCTTAATTTCTTTTTCTTATTGTTGATTATTGACATAGAGAAATGCACCTAATTTTTTCAAGCTGATTTTATGTTCTGCAACTTCACTGAATTTGTTGATTCATTCCAGAAGAGTTTTTGTGTGGCATTTTTAATGTTCTCCATATACAAGATCGTGTAGTCTTAGAAGAAAGATACTCTTACTTTTTCCTTTCCTATTTGGATACCTTTCCTTTCTTCTTCTTATCCAATTGCTAGTCACTCTTGCTTTTTAAAATTAATATATTCAAGGCATATATTTTCCATTATTTTACTTTCATTCTATCAATGTCACATAGTGTGTTTATTTTTGACAGCATACATATTTTTTTTTTTTCTTTGAGACAGACGTGAGATTCTTTTGCCCAGGCTGGAGTGCAGTGGCCCAATCTCAGCTCACTGCAGCCTTCGCCTCCTGGGTTCAAGCAATTCTCCTGCCTCAGCCTCTCAAATAGCTGAGACTACAGGCACCCACCACCACGCCTGGTTAATTTTTGTATTTTTAGTAGAGATGAGTTTCACCATGCTGGCCAGGCTGGTCTTGAACTCTTGACCTCAAGTGATCCGCCTGCCTTGGCCTCCCAAAGTGCTGGAATTACAGGCATGAGCTAACGTGTTAGGCCAGACAGCATATTGTTGAATCATTTTTCATCCACACTGTTTATGTATTTTAATTACTATACAAAGACTATTTACTTTTAAGGTAATTATTTATATTGATAGTAAAGCTAAATTGTGTCATTTTATTTATTTGCTTTCTGTTTATGTTTCCTGCTTGTCATTCTTCCATTTTTCTTTGCATACCTTCCTGAGACTTACCTGATTTTTTTTAGAGTTGTATCTTGACTGACTTACAGTGTTTTTGAGTATAGCACATTGTATAGTTTTCTTAGTTGTTACACTAGATATTACAATATGTAGTTAATCACAGTCTACAGGTATCAACATTTTACCACTTTGAGTGAAGTGTAAAATCCTTACTTGATTTACATCTGTTTATCCTCCAACATTAAAAATATAATCATATGAAGTCTTTATATACATTGAGCAATATGTGAAATATTGTTTTAATTTTTGCTTCACCATAAAATATAACTAAAGAAACTCTCAAAGGCAAGGATATTATATGATATTTATGCCCATTTTAATTTATGCTGATGTTTTTTCTTTTTGAAGTTCCCAGCCTTCTTTTATCATTTTCTATTTTATAGATCTTCCTTTAGCCAATCTTTAAGAATGCATTTGCTAGCAAAAACATATAGTTTTTCCTCATCTGACAATATCTTATATTCCCCTTTATTCTAGAAGAATATTTTTGCTGGAAACAGAATTTCTACTTGGCAATTTTTACAACACCTGAAATGCCCAGTTCCACTTCAAACTGGCCTTCAGAGTTTTAGAAGAGAAATTCATTGTCATTCAAATGTCTGGGTTCCCATAATAATGTGTCTTTTGTCTCTGGCTGCTCTGAAGATTTTTTATTTGTCTATAGATTTGAAACCGTAAACTATGATATGTCTTGGCATGTTTTTGTGTGCGTTTGTTCTATTTGGACTTCTCCCAGGCTCCTGAATCTGTAGGTTTATGTGTCCCTGTACATTTGAGAGGATATATGCATTATTTCTTTAAACACTTTTTTGGTTCCACTTTGTCTCTGATCTCTTTTTGAGATACTGATGATATAAATTTCGTTTTTTTTTGTTATCCCACAGGGTGCTGAGTAGCTTTTCATTTTTGTTTTCAATTTGTTTTCTTTCTGTTTCTCCGATTGGGTAAATACTATTGATCTGTCCTCAAGTTCACTGATCCTTTCCTTGTCATCTTGACTCTGGATGAGCCCATTCAGTGAGGTTTTTATTTTTTTTTTTCTAATTTCAGTTATGGTATTTTTCACTTCTATAATTTTCATTTGTTTTTTATAACATCTTTTTGTGGAGTTCTTTAAAATTAGTAGCTGTTTGTTGAGGTATTTTTGTAACAGCTGATTTAAAGTTGTCAGTTAGCCTCAACATATGATTCATGTTATGTTGTCCTCTGTTGATTTTGTGCCTGTTCAATTATTGGATGGGCCCTACCAACACCACTCTGACCAAATTCGAATGCTGACTCCCACTGTCTTATTAAAGACACATGGAGGAAAGGCTCAGCTCTCTGCTCAGCCTTGCTGATATCATCTCAGTGAAAGTAGGTCACTAACACATACCACCACCTTGCCTCCAAATAGGAATGTAAGGTCAGCTCCCTGATGTGTCCTTCTGTCCCCAAGAAGGAGATAAGTAAAGGGCTGACTCTCATTGCTTTGTTGCTGCTTTTTGGGTGTGGAAGCTAAACACTCTAGTGAACACAGCTGACACCAAGGGAGGGGAAGGAAGAAAGTGGAGTGCTAATAAACCCCACCTTTTAACACCCCATTCTGACCTCACTGATATCAGGCAGGTACAGCAGTTCAGCTCCCCAGTGGGTTCCACTAACACCAGGGATGATTAGAAAGCGAACAAGTCAACTGTTTTGTTCAGTTTCATTGACGTGTGGTGGGAGTAGAAGCTCAGCTCTCCGCTAGTCCCCACTAACAGAAATGAGTGGTGGTGAAGTATAGTGGTGAATAACACTGCCTTGCACAGCTTCATGAAGTCTGATTGCTACTATGTGAGTTTAGAAGCTCATCTAGCCTCTGAGTACTATTGCCATTACATACACAACTCTGTCGTTGGGAGAATTGTGGTAGAACCCACTTCTACCAGCCAGGAAATGCAAGATCTACTGCCCCTGGGTTTCAGTAACACTATCAAGACAAAAATGTCACATCTTGATTTGGGATGTATATTGGGCCATTCTTGCATTGCTATGAAGAAATACCTGAGGGTGGGTAATTTATTTTAAAAAGAGGTTTGATTGGTTTATGATTCTGCAGGCTGTACAGGAAGCATGGTGCTGACACCTGTTTGGCTTCTGGGGAGGCCTCAGGAAGGTTTTACTAACGATAAAAGGTGAAGCAGGAGCAGGCACATCACATGGTGAAAGCAGGAGCAAGAGAGGAGGTGGGAGGTGCTGCATACTTTTAAACTATCGGATCTCATGCAAACTCACTCGCTATCAAGAGGATAGCATCCAACCATGAGGAATCTGGCCCCATGACTCACACGCTCCTACTTGGCCCCACCTCCAACACTTGGGATTACATCCCAACATGATATTTGGGTGGAACAAATATCCAGACTATATTGGTGGGGTCCAGGGCTGTGTGCAAGATTAGCTGCCTTCTTGGCCTCACTGAAATTGTGTGTCTGGAAGAGAAGCTTTTTCTCTGGTGTTTGGTGGGAATAGGATGGGTGTTGCAAAATGTTTTCTGCTATGTTGGGCCATCCTTTTTCTGGTCTTCTGGTTAAGGCAAATAGGTTTTTCGTCAAGATTTTTCTTTTAGCCTGTGCCTGTTGCTGGTACCAGACTGGAGACTGCTGTAGTACTCTTTTAAGATATATGAAAGCTAATTAGAAAACTCATGGAAATAAGTGCCATGTAGTTCCTGAAGTCCCAAAGTCCCCTTTGTATTCTGCCACATTCTTCTTTCTACATTTCAAAATCTTCCTATGCTTGTATGTTATGTACAGATACGTTTACCTGATTATCTTCTGGCCAGAACCTACTTCTTCCTTCCTATTCACTGCTAAGTAGTATTCCACTGTAGGGATTTATCAGAATTTTTAAAAATCCAATCACTAATTGACAAACTTCAGTATTTTCCTAAGCTTTGGAAATTATAATAAAAATAAAAGAAACATTCTTGTACAGATTTTTGTGTATATTTACATTTTTATTTCGCTTCATCATCCAGGAGTGAGTTATATAATTCACAGCAAGTATATATTTAACTTTATAAGAAATGTTAAACTTTTTTCCTGAGTAGATGTAGCATTTCACAATTCCACCAATGATGTTGCTCCACATCTTCATCAGCATTTGGTAGAGTCAGTGATGTTTTGTTTGTTAGATTTTTATTTTTGTTCATTGGTTGGTTTTTAAGCATTCTAAAATATTACTGAACATGATTTTTATATTTTCTATTTTTGTAAATTTTTGCTTTATGGCTCATATTATGGTTTATCTTTGTGAATGTTACCTGTGTACTTAAAGAGAATGCGTATCCTGCTGCTATCGTGTAGCTTGATCTACAAATGCCAAATAGGTTAGATCCATTGACAAGGTTGTTAGGTCTTGTATATCCTTACTTATGTAATTCCTACTTGTTTTTATCAGTAACTGAGGGAAGAGTCTTGAGATCTTCAACTATCATTGTGGATTTGTCTATTTCTTCTTCAATTCTATCCGTTTTTCATTCATGTATTTTTAAGCGTTGTTGGTAGGTGCCTAATGTTTAAGATCATTATGTTTTCTGGGTAAACCGATGTTTTTCATTCATATGTAATATCCATCTTTCTCCCTAGTATTATTCTTTTTTACAAAAAATCTACTTCGTCTTATATTAACGTGGCCAAACCAGTTATTTTTTAACTTGAGGTTTTATGGTAAATATGTTTCCATCTTTTAAACTATCTACATCTTTATATTTAAAAGAACATTCTTCCATATAACCTTTAGTTATGTCTTATTCCGTGTCCCATCTGGAAACTTCTTTCATTTAAGTTGGGATATTTTAACAATGTATATGTAATCCAGTTATCGATATAGTTGAATATACCTCTACCAACTTACCAGTTGTTTTCTACTTGTTCCATTTGTTACTTACTTTATATTACCATTTCTGCAGATACTAAATGAATTTTCTTTATTATCTCCTTTAACTACACTATTAGCTTATTTTTTAAACCTATGTTTTTAGTCATTTTTCTAAGTTTTACAATACACACAATTAACATATCACAGTGTATATTCAAATGTTATTCTACTTCATATGTATTAATGTTACTCTACTTCATATGTATTAATAGCGAGAAAGACACCATGTAGATCCAGTTTTTAACTGTTATTGTTTGTGCTATTACTTTTTTGTCTTATTTGTACAGCACAATATATTGTTACTACTGTTACTTTAAAAATTCAGTTACTTTTAGTAAAGTCAAACATAAGAAATAATATTTTATATAATGATATTTTTATCTTCTCTGGAGCTTTTCATTTCTTTGTGTATATTCAAATTCCTGCTTGATATCATGCTCCTTCTGCTTTAAGAACTTCCTTTGTCATTTCTTTTAGTGCATCTCTCCTGATAGAAAATCTCTCAGCTGTTTTTATCTAAAAGTATATGTGATTTCATCTTCCTTATTAAAAATGTTCAATAAGCATAGAATTCTAGATTGACAGTTTTATTGTATTTATACATCAAAAATGACAATTTATTTATTTATTTTTTTCATTGTTTCTGGGGAGAAGTCTGTAATAATTCTCACATTTTTTACTCTGAGTGTAATTTGATCTTTCTCTTTGGTTTGTAGCAGACAGAGAGAAAGAGACGGGAAATGAGAGAAAAAGAAACAGAGAGATGGAGTTATGTATCTTGCTTGCATTTGTGGATTGAATGTCTGCCTTTATTTCTGGAAAATTCTTGACCATTGTCTCTTCAAATATTTCATTTGCTTTGTTCCTTTTTTCTTTTCCTGGAATTACAAGTACACTTATAACATGTATGTTAGATTTTTTGATCTCGCTTCAGAGCTCTTGGATATTCATTTCTCCTCCCTTTTTACATGCCTTTTTAAATATTTACATGCAGGTTGGATAATTTATATTCATCTCTCTTATGTTCCATGATTATTTCTTTGGCTATGTAATGTCAACTTACAAACCTCTCATAATAATTCCTTATCTCTGATATTATACTCTTTTTTCTCTAGAATTTCTATTTGTGTCTTTCTCATAATTTCCATGTTTCTGCTGAAATTCTCTAGGTGTTTATGCACGTTGCCCCCATTTTCTATTAGATTATCATATTCATATTGGTTATTTTAAAATCTTTGCCTCTTTCAACATCTGATTGATCTCTGAATTTGATTATATTGGTTTGTCTCTTCAAAATAGGATGTTTTTGCTTGTTTTTTCTGTCTTGCAATTTTTTAGTTGAAAGCCAAACAGCTTCATATGTAGAATAAGAAAGACCAAGGCGAATAGCATTTATGTCTGGAAATTTATATGTCCTTTTCAGGAAATTCATGTGGGGAACTGAATTAATCTAGTCAGGAGTTAGGTTGAGGTTTTATGTTTTATTTTTGCTATGGTTACCTTGTGGCTATTCACTGGCAACAGCCTCTATCATGAGCTTGTCTTGAGATTGAGTGCTGGGAGTTTCTGTAGAGGGTTTCTCAAAGTTTGTGCTCTATCCTTAGCTTTCTGATGTCTCTATATGTCTGCTGTATACAGGGAGTCTCTCTGCATAATTTTGCCAGTTAACTAGTGGTAGACTGCTCTTGCTGGTTATTTATGCTTGATAGGTTAGGGACATGGAGAGAGAGTTCTCTATTGTTCTGGTTCAGACTCAGTCTCAGTTAGGCCCTGTGAACCTGGTCTTCAGAGGTGTGTTTCTCAGTTTTCCAAGCCATATGCCTTATGGCAGCCAAACCTGAATCTTGTATTATGAGTTTTGTGTGGGAGATAAATTTCACTCCACCTTTCAGCAGCAGGAGACTTCTAATGGGATTGATAAGTAATCCTGGGCCCTGTACTATTACCTACCCTTCCTCTAGACATGAAGAGTTTGACTTTTCCTCTGCCCTTCCTCTAGTAACAATCTGTCTTTACCTGTGCCCTGAGGATGACACCGTTTATTGCCCTTTCACCAGCAGGTTAAGTATTTTGAAATAAGATTCAAGCAGTGGTTGGTGCAGGGCTTCGTATCTTTCCTGTAGTGGCATCTGATCCCTTGTTGTACGCTTGCATCAACAAGGAAGGTTCTCTCTGGTCCCCTACCCTGCCTCCAATCTTTCTCTTGAGAAAATACTGGAGATCCATGAAAAAAAAAAAAAAAAAAAGAGCCTGAAAGCTAATGTTAATTCATCTTGTGTCTGTTCATACCAGGCATTTGGTACTGTCACACTAACACACACTCAGCCTTAATTCATTCATTCAGAATGTTCCTGATTTTTTCTTACCTACTTTAATGAAAGTAATATATTCTTCCGGTGCTCTGTCTTGAATGAGACAGTGTGCGTATCTCATCTCTCCTTGGGGAGAAAGAAGCATCCCTTTTTGTGTGCAATATCAGCTCTCTGATGGACTCAGGAAAAGTTATAATTTTCTAGTTTATCTGAATCTTTATTATCATTAAGATGCGAGTGTGTTAATTCAACCCCCATGCCTTAAGCAGAAGTGGAACACAGAATCTATATTTTTTATTGATACATAATATTTGTACATATTTATGGGGTACATGTGATATTTTATTACATACATACAATGTAAAATGGTAAAATCAGGATATTTAGGGTATCCAACACCTCATTTATCATTTTTTTGTGTTGGTAACATTTCAACTCTTCTCTTTTAGCTATTTGGAAATACACAATAATACCGTGCTATTTAACATTATAACTTATTTTTTTCCTATCTAACTTTACACTTGTAGACATTAAACAAACTCTCTTTAACTCTCTACCCTTTCTAGGCTCTGGTAGCTATTATTCTACTTTCTACCTCAATAAAATCAATTTTTCCCTCCCACATATGGAAAAATGCAATATTTATCTTTCTGTTCCTGGTTTATTTCACTTAACATAGTGACCTTCAGTTTCATCCATGCTGCTGCAAATGGCAGCATTTCATTATTTTTTATGGCTGAATAGTATTCTACCATGTATATATACCACATTGTCTTTACTGATTCATCCATTAATGAACATATGGGTTGTTTCCATATCTTTGCTGCTGTGAATAGTCCTTCAATAAACATCAAAGGGTGCAAGTATCCCTTTGATATATTTAATTCCTTTCCCTTAAAGAAATACCCAGTAGTGAGAATGCTGGATCATATGGTAGTTCCATTTTTAGGTTTTTGAAAAATCTCCGTATTGTTTTTGTTGCCTACCTTTTTACTTTAAATTATTTTATTTTTTAAGTTCCAGGGTACATGTGCAAGATGTGCAGGTTTGTTATATAGGTAAGCATGTGCCATCCATTTGACCCAGCAATCCCATTACTGGGTATACACCCAAAGAAATATAAGTCATTCTATTATAAAGATACATGCACGTGTATGTTCATTGCAGCACCATTCACAATAGTAAAGACATGGAATCAGCCCAAATATCTATCGATGATAGACTGCATAAGGAAAATGTGGTACATATACTATGTACCATAAATGGAATACTATGCAGCCATAAAAAGGAATGAGATCATGTCCTTTGCAGGGACATGGATGAAGCTGGAAGCCATTATCCTCAGCAAACTAACACAAGAACAGAAAACCAAATACCACATGTTCTTACTTATAAGTGGAAGCTGAACAATGACAACATATGGGCACAACACATGGGGAGGGGAACAACACATACTGTGGCCTGTTGGTGGAGAGTGAGAGGGGAGAGCATGAGGAAAGATAGCTAATGCATACTGGACTTAATACCTAGATGATGGATTAGTAGGTGCCTATCTTTTTTAAGCCTTAGCCATAAAATATTTACATAGACCAATGCCCTGAAGGGTTTTCCTATGATTTTTTTTCTACTAGTTATGTAATTTTGGGTCTTATATTTAAGTTTCTAATCCATTTTAAGTTGACTTTTGTATGCAGTGAGACTAAGGGTCTAATTACCATTCTGTTTTCCTTACTATACCTTTGAAGTATATTCCGAAGTCAGGTAGTTTCATGCCTCCGGTTTTGTTCTTTTTGCTCAGTATTACTTTGACTATTTGGGGTCTTTGGTAGTTCCCTACAAATTTTATAATTGTTTTTCCTCTTTTTGTGACAAAACTGGTACTTCATTAGGGAATGAATTGAATCTGTAAATTGTTTTGGGTAGTGTATTAGTCCATTTTCATATTGCTATGAAAAAATACTTGAGATTGGGTAATTTATAAAGAAAAAAAGGTTTAATGGACTCACAGTTCCACATAACTGAGAAGGCCTCACAATCATGGCAACAAGCAAAGGAGGAGCAAAGGCACATCTTACACGGAGGCAGGCAAGAGAGGGTGTGCAGGGAAACGGTCCTTTATAAAATCATCACATCTTGTGAGACTTAATTCACTATCATGAGAAAAGCATAGGAAAACCAGCCCCCATTATTCAATTACCTCCCACTGGGTGCCTCCTATTACAAGTGGGGATTATGGGAACTACAATTCAATATGAGATTTGGGTGGGGACACTGCCAAACCATATCATTCCACTGCAGCACCTCCCAAATCTCATGTCCTCACATTTCAAAACCAATCTTGCCTTCCCAGCAGTCCCCCAAAGTCTTAACTTATTCCAGCATTAACTCATAAGTCCACAGACCAAAGTCTCATCTGAGATAAGGCAAGTCTCTTCCACCTATGAGCCTATAAAATTAAAAGCAAGTTAGTAACTTTTTTTTTTTTTTGAGACAGAGTCTTGCTCTGTCATCCAGGCTGGAGTGCAGTGGCACAATCTCAGCTCACTACAACCTCCGCCTCCCAGGTTCAAGTGACTCTCCTGCCTCAGCCTCCTGAGTAGCTGGGATTATAGGCACATGTCACCGCTCCCAGCTAATTTTTGTATTTTTAGTAGAAATAGGGTTTTGCCATGTTGGCCAGGGTGGTCTCATACTCGTGACCTCAGGTGATCCACCCTCCTCTGCCTCCCAAAGTATTGGGATTACAGGCATGAGCCACTGCACCCAGCGCAAGTTAGTTACTTTCTAGATACAATGGACGTACAGGCATTGGGTAAATACACCCATTGCAAATGGGAGAAATTGGCCAAAACAAAGGGGCTACAGGCCCCATGCAAGTACAAAATCTAGTGGGGCAGTCAAATCTTAAAGTTCCAAAATGATCTCCTTTAACTCCATGTCTCACATCCAGGTCATCCTGAGGCAAGAGGTGGGTTCCCATGGTCTTGGGCAGCTTTGTCCCTATGGCTTCGCAGGGTACAGCCCACATCCTGGCTGCTTTCACAGGCTGGCATTGAGTGTCTGCAGTTTTTCCAGGCACATGGTGCAAGCCGTCAGTGGATCTACAATTTTGGCATCTGGAGGATGGTGGCCTTCCTCTGACAGCTCCATGAGGCAGTGCCCCAGTGGGGCCTCTGTGTGGAGGCTCCCACCCCACATTTCCCTTCTGAACTGCCCTAGCAGAGGCTCTCCATGAAGGCTGTACCCCCGTAGCAGACTTCTGCCTGGACATCCAGGCATTTTCATACATCCTTAGAAATCTAAGCAGAGGTTCCCAAACCTCAATTCTTGACTTATCTGTACCCACAGACCCAACACGATGTGGAAGCTGCCAAGGTGTGGGTCTTGGACCCTCTGAAGCAATGGACTGAACTGTACATTGACCCCTTTTAGCCATGGCTGGAGCGCCTGGGATGCAGGGCACCAAGTCCCAAGGGGATGCAGGGCACACAGCATGGGGGCCCTGAACCCTGCCCATGAAATCATTTTTCCCTCCTAGGTCTCTGGGCCTGTGATGGAAGGGGCTGCCGTGTAGGTCTCTGACATGCCCTGGAGACATTTTTCCCATTGTCTTGGTGATTAGCATTCTGCACCTCTTTACTTATGAAAATTTTTGCAACTGGCTTGAGTTTCTTCCCAGAAAATGGGTTTTTCTTTTATCTTGCATCATTGGGCTGCAAATTTTCCAGACGTCTATGCTCTGCTTTTTCTTGAATGCTTTGCTGCTTATAAATTTCTCTTGCCAAATACCCTGGATAATCTATCTCAAGTTCAAAGTTTCACAGATTTCTAGGGCAGAGGCAAAAAGCCGCCAGTCTCTTTATTAAAGCATAACAAGAGTCACCTTTGCTCCAGTTTCCAAACAAGTTTCTCACCTCCATCTGAGACCACCTAAGCCTGAACTTTATTGTCCATATCACTATCAGCATTTTGGTCAAAGCCATTCAACAAGTCTCTAGGAAGTTTCCAACTTTTCCAAATCTTTTTGTCTTCTGAGTCCTCTACATTTCTAGGAAGTTCCAAACTTTCCCACATTTTCCGGTCTTCTTCTGAGCCCTCAAAACTGTTGCACCCTCTGCCTGTTAACCAGTTCCAAAGTTGCTTTTACATTTTTGGGTATCATAATAGTAGTACCCCACTCTACCAGTACCTATTCACTGTACCAGTCTATTTTCATACTGCTATGAAGAAATAACTGAGACTGGGTAATTTATGAACAAAAAGAGGTTTAATGGACTCACAGTACCACATGGCTGGGGAGGCCACACAATCATGGCAGAAAGCAAAAGAGGAGCAAAGGCACATATTATGGTGGCAGGCAAAAGAGCAGGGGCAGGGGAATTGACTTTTATAAAACCATCCGATCTCATGAGACTTATTCACTGTCATTAGAACAGCATGAGAAACCTGCCTCCATCATTCAATTACCTCCCACCAGGTCCCTCTCATTGTGGTATGGTAATTACAATTCAAGATAAGATTTGGGTAGGGACTTAGCAAAACCATATCAGGTGGTATGGCCATCTTAACAATATTTTTTGAATCATTAGCATGGGATGTCTTTCCTTTTGTTTGTGTTCTCTTCAATTTCTTCTGCCAGTGATTTGTGGTTTTTGTTGTAGCGGTCTTTCACTTTCTTGGTTTAATTTATTTCTCAGTGGGTTTTTCTTTTGGTAGCTACTGTAAATGAGATTGTTTTCATTATTTATTTTTCAGCTAATGTGATTACTGATGTATAAACTATTGGAGTTTTGTATGTTGCTTTTGTATGCAGCAACTTTACTGAATTTGTCAGTTATAAGAGTGTTTTGTCAGGACTTAAGATTTTTCTATATATAAGAGCATGTCTTTGGAAAAGAAAGACCGTTTGATTTTTTTTCTTTTACAATTTGGATGCATTTCTTTTTCTTTCTCTTGACTGATTTCTCTGACTGGGACTTCCAATACCATATTAAGTAAGACTAGTAAAATTGACATTTTTGTCTTGTTTCAATTATTAAAAGAAAGGTTTTCAGCTTTCTCCCATTCAGTGTGATGTTAGCTGTGGGTTTGTCTTATATGACCTTTATTATTTTGAAGCATGTTCCTTCTATGCCTTATTTGTTGAGAGTTTTATCACGAAGGGATGTTGAATTTATCAAATGTTTTTTGTATCTATTGAGATAAATGGTATTTGTTTTGTCCATTATATTGGTATGATGTATCTCATTTATTGATTTGCTTATGTTGAACCATGTTACATCCCTGGATTTAACTCCATCTTATAATTGTGTATTATCTTTTTGATGTGTTACTGGATTTAGTTTGTTAATATTTTGTAAAAAAAAATGCATTTGTGTTCATCAGGAATCACGAGGAATATTGCCCTGTAGTTTTTTTATGTTTGTTTATTTGTCTATTTTTTTTTTTTATGTTCTTGACTGGTTTTAGTATCATGGTAATTCTGGTCTAATAGAATTAGTTAGGGAGAATTTCCTCCACTTCAGTTTTATGGAATAGTTTGAGAGGAATTGATGTTAGTTGTTTATAAGTATGGGATAATTTAGCAATAAAACCATCTGATCCTGGGCTTGTTTTTGTTAGAAGACTTTTTATTAATGATTACATTTTGTAACTCATTATTTTTGGCTTCAGGTTTCCTATTTCTTTCTGATTCAAACTTGGTAGGTTTTAAGTGTCCAGAAACTTATTTTTCTCTAGGCTTTCCAATTTGTTAGCATATAGTTGTTAATAATACCCTATAATAATCTTTATGTTTCTGTGCTTATCAGTAGAAATGTCTCCTTTTTCATTTCTGATTTCATTTATTTGGATCTTTTCCCCCTTTTCTTGGTTAATCTAGTTAGTGCTTCATTAATTTTTTGGTTTTATTTTTTCAATTCTATTTGTTACATTGATTTTTTTTTGTATTTCTAAAAATTTTCTATTTCATTGAATTTCATTCTGATCTTTATTATTTCTTTCTTTTTAAGAATTTTGGGTTTGGTTTGTTCCTGATGTGTATCCTTAATAATCTTGTGTTTGGTTAGTTCCTTGAGGTGTACCATTAAGTTATTTATTAAAATCTTTCTACTTTTTTGATATAGTGTTTTTTTTTTACTATATACTTCTTTCTTAGCACTGCTCTTGTTGTATCATATAGGTTTTAATATGCTGTGTTTCTATTTTCTTTTGTTTTCACAATTTGTTTGATTTTATTTTTAGTTTTTTTAAATTTACCCATAGGTCATTTAGGATCAAGTTGTTTAATTTGTATGCATTTGTACAGTTTCCAAAGTTCCTCCTGGTTTTATTTTCTAGATTGCAAGACTTGGAAATTTTCAGCTATTATTTTATTGATAAGTTTTCAATGATTTTGCCCATCTCTTGCCCTTCTGGAACTCCTGAAATTTAAACATTTGTGTGCTCTATAGTGTCAAGTATGTCATGTAGACTTTCTTCATTCTTTTTTTTCTTTTTTCTTTATTTTTTTTCTTTTGGTTGGATTGAGTTATTTCAAAAGATCAGTCTAAGAGTTTAGAAATTATTTCTCCTGCTTGAGGTAGTCTATTCTGCATTGTATTTTTTTTTTATTTTACTCATTGAATTCCTCAGTTCCAGGATTTCTGTTTGGTTCTTTTTTATGACATCTATTTGTTGAATTTGTCATCTTGTTCATAAATTTATTATTATTTCTTTGTTTACTTGTGCTTCAGTATACATGTGGGTTTGGTTCCAGGATCTCCAACATCTACCAATATCCACACATACTCAAATCCTGTAGTCAGCATTACAGAACTCGTGTATATGAAAAGTCTGCCTTCCATATATGTGGGTTTTGCAACCCCAAAATACTGTATTTTTAATCTGCATTTGGCTGTAGAAGCGAAACCTCAGATATGGAAGATTGACTGCATTTATTACATAAAAATTCATGTATAAGTGTACCCACATGGTTCAAACCCATGTTGTTCAAGGGACAACTGTATTGTTTACGTGCATTCTGTTGTATCTTACTGAATTTCTTTAAAATTGTTATTTTGAATTCTTTTTCAGACATGTAATAGATTTCCTTTTCATTAGGATCTGTTACAGGAGAAATACTGTGTTCTTCCAGAAGTTACATATTTCCTTTTCATGTTTCTTGCGTTCTTATGTTCATATATGTGCATCTGGTGTAATCGTCACTTTTTCCAATTTTATGCAATGGTTTCCACAGGGAAATACATTTTTCTACATATCTATTTGTAGTGTTGGCTTGGTAGACTACTTTGGCTTTGATTCTGGGTAGGTACAGTAATGTAGTTTCTGTATGACTTCTTCAGCTACAATCACTGTCAGTGGTGTCTGTTTCTCAGTGGCTTAGGCTGCACTTGTTATTAGAGGCTATGGTGAGGCTTTCCTAGGGATGGCAATGCCAGGCAGGCTAGGCGGGCTGGTCCTTGAGCCTCAAGAAAACTTGCTTATGTGCCAGCAGTGACAGTTGTGGGCTGGGTGGGTGGAAGGGTCCTTAGGCCCCTGAATGGCATATGTGGCATTGATTATGGCAGAAGCAGTGGCAGGCCAACATGAAAGCCCCATAGTGCTGCACATGGACACTAGCAATGGCAGCAGTGGGCTGGAAATCCCAGTTCTCTGGCCCCTGGGTGGTGCATGAAGATGGATGCCAGTGGTGGTATTAGTGGCAAGCTGGGTGGGCCAGTCTTCAGGCCCCTATGAGATGCACATAGGCATCAGTGTGGGCAGAGTGGACCCATCCTCTGCTTTTTGGACGGTGTGCACTGGCACCAGCAAACAGAACAAATTCATCCCCAGAACCCTGAATAACACACGTGGACACTGATGGAAGTGATCATAGTGACCTTGTCCTTAAGGCCCCTGATGGTACATGTCCGCACTGGTTGCAATGGGTGAGGCATGTACAGAGCCTACACTTTTAACCACTATCTTCTATTGCTTATCAAGATAGATATTATTTTCCTTATTCAGTGATGTTTTCAGTTAAAAAGTTCAGAGAGAAAAAAAATAACTTTCCCAAAGTCAGATACCTACTAAGTGGCACAGAAAGTATTTGAACCAGGACTACTTGCTTCTTAAGCCCATGTCTTTTAAAATAAGTCATGATATTTCCCACATCTTTGTAAGAACTACAAATGTGCAGCTTAATTTTTGGCCAGAAATATTGCCTAGTAATCTCAAGAGTAGGCAAGGTTACAGGCCTGAATTAAATTTTAATCGTGGGTTATTAGTGAAAATATCAGCACAATCTGCAAAGTCCCTTTACCATCACACTTGGTTTGAAATTGCTACTCTGAATGCTGGTGGATGCACTAATAACTGTGAGCTATTAGTGCTGTTGTTATTGTTGCCTGGAAAATCACAGGAGGATGACACTTTTCACTGATTGCCACAGCCAGAGTCTTCTCTGATTAGATGTGTTTAGTAAATAAAGTTCTAGTTAATTACTTATAATCCTATTTACACACAGGTGCCTGATAATTATCACCAAAGGCAAAAGACCAGTGGATGCGGAGAGCAGAAATACTTAATGGACTGAGTAGGGCAACCTTGTTAAAAAAACAGCAGCAACCTGGAAACACCTTTGCCTCACTTCTGCCATAAAGTTATCTTCACTGTGAGACATTTGCTAGGGTAAGATAAAAGAATTACCTGGTTTGCCTTTATAAGGAAGGCCTCAATCATTCAGCAGAAATGTATTCGGCATTTACTATGTGCCAAGCACACTTTTGGGTACTGGAAACAATTACATTATGAAAATGACAATCAAATAATGTCCCAATGAAAAAGAAATTGTGTTTTCCAAGACCCTGTCAATTTCACCTAAACTCTTAGGGTTCTTTAAAATTGCCATCATATCCAACACTCAACACTGTGATACCACTTCTCTCAGTCCCTGGCCCAACCGTGTTCCTTTGCTTCCCTTAATCTAGCTGAACCAGGATGGCTTTTTCAAAAGTAATATTTATTCACAATTAGGGAAAGACAGAGGAGATGTACACAAGAATAAGTGAGAACATTTGCCAAGTTTACCAAGTCCAAGCTTCTATTCCAAATAATGTTGCATTCCTAAGGACTTCCCAAGCACCTGATCTTTGATTCCTACTTTCCCATCTCTCTGCCATTTTATTTCCCTCTATCTGAGAGTCATTCAGCTGCTTACATTTTCATTGACTCACAGAATTATAAGGAAACCATGTTTCTACTACATGACTTTGAATCTTGTCACTTGGCTTTAATCTCCAGACAAATAACTTAATTTTCCTAGAGGCAAATGACAAGATGGAAAATGAGCAACTAATCACTATCATTATTAGTAATTTTATTTCCTTCCTAATTTGTGATAGCATATATTTTATTTTCTGTTTCTGATTCATAATTGGATTTTCCAAAATTGTCTATTTCAATTATCTTTTCAATGTGCCAGTGCTTGAATTAATTTTCATCTATACTCTCAATCCAATAATTTATGTTCTTAAAGTTAATAATTCATTTCTCATAGTTCCTGAATTAGTCTATTTTTACATTCCCATAAAAAATACCTGAGATTAGGTAATTAATTTTTAAAAAAAGGTTTAATTGACTCACAGTTCCGCATGGCTGGTGAGGCCTCAAGAAAATTACAATCATGACCAAAGGTGAAGAAGAAGCAAGGCACATCTTACATGACAGCAGGACAGAGAGAGAGTGCAGAGAAAACTGCCACTGTTAAACCATCAGATCTTGTGAGAACTCCCTCACTATCACAAGAACAGCATTGGTGAAACCAATCACCTCAAACCCCAAGACCCAATCACCTCACACCAGATCTCTCCCTTGACACTTGGGGATTACAATTTGAGATGAGATTTGTGTGGGGACACAGATGCAAACCATATTATTCCACCCCGGCCCCTTCCAAATCTCATGTGCTTTTCACATTTCAAAACCAATTATGCCATCATGTCTTCCAAGCAGTCCCCCAAAGTCTTAACTCATTCCAGCATTAACCCCATAGTCCAAGTCCAAAATTTTATCTGAGACATGGCAAGTCCTTTCTGTCTATGAGCCTGTAAAATCAAAAACAAGTTAGTTAGTTCCAAGATACAATGGGGTAGAGGCACAGGGTGAATGTTCCCATTCCAAATAGGAGAAGTTAGCCCAAACAAAAAGGCTACAGGTCCCATGCAAGTTTGAAACCTGGCAGGGGAACCCTTAAATCTTAAAGCTCCAAAATGATGTCTTTTGACTCCATGTCTCACATCCAGGTCACGCTGACGCAAGAGGTGGGTTCCCATGGTCTTGGGCAGCTCTTCTCCTGTGGCTTTGCAGGATACTGCCCACCTCCCAGCTACTTTCATGGGCTGGCATTGAGTGTCCGCACCTTCACCAGGCACGTGGTGTAAGCTGTTGGTGGATCTACCATTCTGGGGTTTAGAGGACAGTGGGCCTCTTCTCACAGCTCCACTAGGCAGTGCCCCAGTGGGGACTCTGTGTGGGAGTTCCAATCCCACATTTCCCTTTCACACTGCCCTAGCAGAGCTTCTCCATGAGGGCTCTGCCCCTTCAGCAGACTTCTACCTAGACATTCAAGCATTTCCATATATCCTCTGAAATCTAGGGAGAAGTTCCCAAGCCTCAATTCTTGACTTCTGTGCACCCACAGGCCCAACACCATGTGGAAGCCATTAAGGCTTAAGCCTGAGCTGTATGTTAACTCCTTTTAAGCAATGGCTGGAGCTGGAGTGGCTGGGATGCAGGGAACCAAGTTTTGAGGATGGACAGAGCAGCAGAGGTGTGGGCTCAGCCCACAAAACCATTTTTCTCTCCTAGGCCTCCTGGCCAGTGATGGGAGGAGCTGAATTTAAGATCTCTAAAATTCCCTGGAGACATTTTTCACATTGTCTTGGTGATTAACATTGGGCTCCTCATTACTTACGCAAATTTGTGCAGTCAGCTTTAATTTCTCTCCAGAAAATGGGTTTTTCTTTTCTACCACGTGGTCAGGCTGCAAATTTTCCAAATGTTTACTCTCTGCTTCCCTTTAAAACATAAGTTCCAATTTCAAACCATCTATTTGTAAATGCATATGACTGAATGTTTCAGAAAAAGCCAGGTCACCTCTTGAATGCTTTCCTGCTTAGAAATTTCTTCTGCCAGATACTCTAAATCATCTCTCTCAAGTTCAAAGTTTGACAGAACTTTGCCCCTCTAGGGCAGGGGGAAAATGCCACCAGTCTCTTTGGTAAAGCATAGCAAGAGCGGCCTTTGCTCCAGTTCCCAAGAAGTTCCTCATCTTCATCTGAGAACACCTTAGCCTGGACTTTATCATCCATAACACTATTGACATGTTGGTCAAAGCCATTCACCAAGTCTCTAGGAATTTTCAAAATTTCTCACATCTTCCTGTCCTCTGAGCCCTGCAAACTGTTGCAACCTCTGCCTGTTACCCAATTCCAAAGCTGCTTCCACATTTTCAGGTTGTCTTTATAGCAGTACCCCACTCTGCCAGTACCAAATCTCTGTATTAGTATTTTTTTTTTTTGAGATGGAGTTTCACTCTTGTTGCCCAGGCTGGAGTGCAGTGGCACAATCTTGACTCACTGCAACTTCCACCTCCTAAGTTCAAGTGATCCTCCTGCCTCAGCCTCCTGAATAGCTGGGATTACAGGCATCTGCCAGCAAGCCTGGCTATTTTTTTGTATTTTTAGTAGATATGAGGTTTTGCCATGTTGGCCAGGCTGGTCTTGAACTCCTGACCTCAAGTGATCCACTCGCCCTGGCCTCCCAAAGTGCTGGGGTTTAGTCTATTTTTACACTGCTATAAAGATACTAATTGAGACTGGACAATTTATAAAGAAAAGAGGTTGATTTGACTCAGTTTCACATGACCGGGGAGGCCTCAGAAAATTTATGATTATGGTAGAAGGCAAAGGGGAAGCAAGACATGTCTTACATGGCAGCAGAAGAGAGAGACAGTACAGGGAAAACTTCCACTTTTAAACCATCAGCTCTCATGAGAACTCCCTCACTATCACAAGAACTGCATGGGGGAAACCGTCCCCATGATCCAATTACCTCCCACCAGGTCCCTCCCTGGACATGTGATGATTATAATTTGAGATGAGATTTGGGTGGGGACTCAGAGCCAAACAATATCAGCTCCTATGGTTTTGTTTTGTTAGTACTTTTAACTTTCTGAATTTCATCTCAAGTTCACTTGTTTTCATTCAATTCTTCCTTGATAATACAACTTCTTTGGACCATGAATTTTCTCATATGTACAGTCTTGCTTTTATTCCATAATAACACTAATACTTATTAAATGCTTACCATGTGCCACTTTTCTAAGTATTTTACATACATTTATTTATTTAATCCTTCCAACAATTTTATTGAGTAGGAAACTGAAACACAGAGGTATTACATTTCCTTATGCTTAGTCAAGGTTATACAATTAGTAGGTAGCAGAATAAGAATTGAAAGTCAGAAAATCTGTCTTCAAATCCTGTCTTACTAACCACCATAATTTTGTTTATTATTTATTTCAATAGGTTTTTGGGGAGCAGATGGTGTTTGGGTACATGAATAAATTCTTTAGTGGTGATTTCTGAGATTTTGGTACACCCATCACCTGAGCACCTGAGCATTGTATGCTGTACTCAATGTGTATTTTTTTATCTTCACCACCACCTACCCTTTCCCTGAGTCCCCAAAGTCCAATGTATCATTATTATGACTTTGCATCCTCTTAGCTTAGCTCCCACATGAGTTAGAACATATAATATTTGGTTTTCCAACCTGAGTTACTTCACTTAGAATAATAGTCTTCAATTCCAATCAGGTTGCTGTGAGTGCCATTATTTCATTCCTATATATATATTGGAAAGAATATATATAGAATTTCATTCTATATATCTTGACAGGAAAAACACTAAATAATCGATATGTTAAATATTGAATTGCAATGTAAATTATGCGATATTTTGAGCTTAATAACAATAAAACTGGTATCCATCAAAATAGAGAAATGTGTCTAAAGTCCATCTTAGAGAGGAATTTAATAGGTTTGAATTATAATTTGTATATGTGAAAAAATTAAAATATAACACCTTTTCAATGAATTAAAGTTAAAAGAAATCAACAGAATAAATCAGAAAAGAATAAGAGGCAAAAATATAATTAAGGGCAAAATAAATGGCATGTAAAATAAAAATATGAGAGAATTGACAAAACAAAAGCTGATTCCATAAAAAGATGAAAGATATATATATATATATATATATATATATATATATATATATATATGCCATAACTAATCAATATAGCCAATATAACCAAAGAGAAAGAAAAGATTCAGTAAAGAAATCTGGATCTCCACAAATGGAGGTAAAAGGAGTAGCTCGTGTGATTTTGGGATTTTGTTGGTTCTATCCAGATGATCCAGGATAATATTATTTTAATGCCACTGAACCTTAATTACATCTGTAAGGTCTATTTTGGCATGTAATATATAACACACTCAGAGCAGAGAAAAGACCCAGAGAAGGCTATGAGGACCAAAATTCTGCCTACCACACCTCCCACGTCCATGTGCATCAGACTTTTTAAATACTTCTATTGTCAGTCTTTCAAGCTTCTCATCAAAAACTTCAGATCCTCTCCCATTAACAGAAAAAGTTTGTGCTATCCCATTAAGAGAAAAATATTGTGATTGTTTTCAATATCCTTAGATCTGAAAAAAAGTTTGTGTTTTAATGTTGTATGACCCTTTGTTTTTCTTGCTTCAGAGGCTAGTCAGAGGCCAGGGACCTTATTTTATTTTATTTATTTTTTTATTTTTTTGAGACGGAGTCTCGCTCTGTTGCCCAGGCTGGAGAGCAGTGGCACAATCTCGGCTTACTGCAAGCTCCGCCTCCCGAGTTCATGCCATTCTCTTGCCCCAGCCTCCCGAGTAGCTGGGACTACAGGCGCCTGCCACCACGCCCGGCTAATTTTTTGTATTTTTCGTAGAGACGGGGTTTCACCATGTTAGCCAGGATAGTCTCGATCTCCTGACCTCATGATCCGCCCGCCTTGGCCTCCCAAAGTGCTGGGATTACAGGCGTGAGCCACCGCACCTGGCCTAGGGACCTTATCTTATTTATTTTTGCACCATCTGAAATACCTAACACTGTGATTTGTGCATTGTGTGTGTTTACTGTGTTCGTTTGATAAGGAGAGAGTGTCGCATAACGGGCTTTGGTGTAATGAAGACTTGCCCTCAAATGACAGCACTGTTATTTATTAAGTGGATGGATGAGTCTGTAACATGTATAAGTTATTTAAATGTTCAGAGTCTTACATCCTCACTCATAACATAGGGATAATGCCATCTCTCCGTTCTTGTAAAGTAGCTATTATTAAATAAAAAAAAAAAACATAGAAGGAGTAATTCTGTCCTTCAACAAACATTTTCTACTATCTTATAATTGTCAAGCCATGTGATTCTCACTGGGTGTTTGGTGATAAATAAGACAGCCTCTTTCCTCATGAAGCTCACAGTCTAGAAGGAGCAATATACATTTAAATCCAATATGTGAATATACATTCAAAGTAAATATTTGTGAGTTTCCTTATTGCCTGATATATGAAGCAAAATTGATTGCCTTTAAGAGTTGGTGGATTGGTTGTAACACAAAGGATACATGCTTGAGAGGATGGATACCCCATTTACCATGATGATATTATTATGCATTGCCTGCCTGTATCAAAGAATCTCATGTACCCCATAAATATATACACCTACTATGTACCCACAAAAATTGAAAATTATAAAAACTGATCAGTGGCCTATATATAGAAAATACCAGTGAGTTCCATATAAAACTTGCAAGCTTCCCTAACAATATGTCCAGCAGATGCCTGCCATAATCTGTTATGCAACCGATTGTTCTCTGACCTATCATGTATTTGATCACATCACACTGGCTATTTACACTCTCTTCTGTACTTTTGGAGTAATGTTTCTGGTCAACTGTTTGTTTGGGTCTTAATTTCAGCTTCAATCCATAATGCTGCTTTTCAAATTAACCATGCTTTTATTCTCTGCATGATAAAGGCTGTTTCTGTCCCCAGACTACACCCAAACCAATCTGTGGTATCCTTGAAGATAAAGAATATGAAGTTTTGTGGTGAAATATTGATACTTGGGACAGAAGTGAAAAGCTTCTAATCTTATTTTATGCTTCTTAGTGGAGTTTTGTTCCCTCCCCAACCCTTCCTTATTAATTAGCCAAAATAAATTCATAGTATAAGCCTAGGGTTCAAATTTGAGAAAAACATACTAAAGGATCTCATGAACTCCCTCCTCCGAGTACTCTAAGCTTTGGTCCCCTATTGAATGATCATTTACTCTTCCTGAACTAGATTCCCTTGTTCCCACAGAAATGCCTGTACTGAAATTTGATTTGATGTGACACTCAGCTTTTCTGGAGAATCTATTTAAATACCATCCATTTGAAAAGCATTGCTGTATTTATTTAATAACAGAAGTTGAATATACGTTTTCCCCCATATATCCTTAGAATGTAGTGTCAAGAAAACAGTTGTTTTGGTAGTTTAAATTGTTTGCTTCCTTTCACCAGAAAATGACACAGTATTGTCCACTGAATCTCTTTCTTGCTTGGGCTGCTAAATTAATTTCTCAGTTTGTGTACTTCATTCTTCCTCACTCTCATATTTCTTGGGTAACATATGTTTACTCATATATATGTAAACATATTTGTATATAGGTTTACTCATGTTTTTGCATTTTAAATGTACTTACCTAGAAATATTTTCATATTGTGTCTTGGCTTAAATACATTTGGAATTTAAATGTATTTTCATTTATAGGTAAATAGGTTAATTCATTTATAGGTAATTAACATCTTTTTTAAAAAAATTTATTGTGTATATTTAAGTTATACAATATGATGTTATGAGATACATATAAATAGTAAAATGGTCACTATAGTTAAGTAATTTAATATATGTATCATCTCATGTGTACCCTTTCTTGGTGCAAGAGCAACTAAAATCTATTAATTTAACAGAAATACCTACAGTAAAACTTTATAATCTTTATGTTGTATGTTAGATCACTACACTTGTTGATTTTACACATTTGTAACTTTAGATCCTATGGCCTACATCTCTCCACCCCCCTCACCTCTGGTAAATACTGTTTCATTCTCTACCTTTACATATTTGACAATTTTTAGCTTCCATATAGAAGTAATATCGTGCAATATTTTTTTCTGTGTCTGGCTTATTTCACTTAGCATAACGTCCTCTCGGTTTATCCATGTTGTGACAAAGGTCAGAATCTCTTTTCATAAGGCTGAATAATATTTTATCACACACACACACATCACGGTTTCTTTATCCGTTTGACTTTTGATAGAAATCTCTTAATTTTTCTCTGGAAGATGAGTTATTGTCATGTTAACCCTCAGTTAAATATGCACAAACTCTCATCAACCTACCAGGTCATGAGCTACAGATCCCACTTGTTCAATAGTCCAAACTGGCACTGGTTCCCACAAAGAAGTGAGTGACAAGAAGTACTAAGTTCTTCATAGTCAATCTCACATAATGTGAAAAAATACAGGCTCCTGAGTTCATTCTTAAAGATAGATCTTTGAAATAGTTTGGCCAACCTACACAGCCCTATATAATGCAAAAAAAAAAAAAATTAAAAGGTGAAAATCAAATGATATATACAGCAGTTTTTTTTCCAAATGAATCTATAATGACTTCCTAGGTCTTTGCTGTTCTGAGCCCTTGGTTTTCACACCATGGAAAACTTAGCCTCCACATTATGCTTGGCCTAAAACCGTACCCTGAAACCCTATTCAGTGTAAATGCAAATATTTCTAATCTCGACCTCTAGCCCCGCTTGCTATTTTTCTGGAGATAAGAAGCATTCATTTTAACCAATTATTATTAGCTCAAGATAATTTTTCAAAAAAAATTATTTGTAGAGCCCCAATATTTAAAATGGGCAAAAGCAAAATGGCCCCAATGAAGCAGAGATAGGGGATCCTGAGCCCTGTTTTTGACAGATCCCTGAATCCTAACCCTCCCTGGTTTTGCAATCCCTATTTTGACGGTTCATTGCGCTTGGTATATTTGGTAGTACTGAGAGAGAAAGATGATCAATTAAGAGCTTAACATAGGAAAGAGAAATTCATATATTCACATGCAGACACAAATATGTAAGAAAGGGGGGGACACTGAAAAATATTTAAACAAGATATTTGACTTCTCTGAATATTTAAAATAAGTTATATAATAGTGACTGCCTTATAAGATTAAATGAAGTACTGTGTATATTGAAACACAGAAGATGCTTTATAACATTTAGAGAAAAAGATAGAATAAAATCCAGCAAATTGTATCTTCTAATGTAGCTTAAGTCATTAAGTTATTGAAATATATTAGTGCTTGCCGGGGAATGGTGGTACACCTGTAACCCCAGCACTTTGGGAGGTTAAGGCAGGAGGATAACTTGAGCCCAGGAACTCAAGACCATCCTGGGCAACATGGTGAGACTCTGTCTGTACAAAAAAAAAATAAAAAATTAGCCAGGGTTAGTGTTGCATGCCTGTAGTCCCAGCTACTCGGGAGGCTGAGGTGGGAGGATCGCTTGAGCCATGGAAGCCAAGGCTGCAGTAAGCTGTGACTGTGTCATTACACTCAGCCTGGGCGACCGAGTGAGACTATCTTAATTCATGAATAATTTTTTGTGTAAAGTTTAAATCACTAAGTATGAGCTGAAAATATTTTGGGGTGTGTTTTTCTACAGTATAAAGTTGTTTAAATTTGAATGAAACAAAAGAAATAATATAATCAGAAAATATTTTCATACTCCTTGCTAAATAGCATCTCCAAAACATCAGTACTCTAAGGTAAGATCTACATGAAATGTTAAAACACTGTTCCAATGTCCTCTGAATAGATTTTTGCAGATCAACATTTATTTAATTATATAATTCACAGGATACAAAGTTATATAGTTATATCATCAAATAAAATAAAAATAAAGGAATAAGCTGAGGGCAATTTTCCACATCCATTGCCTCACTTATTCAAAGTTAGACTTATATAATCCCAGAGATCCACAAGCTTCTGTGAAATTTAAGCAGCTACTTACAAGATAGCTTTATAAGATTGTATTATAATCTTCCTCACTTAAGATTCTGAGTGCATCTTCCCACCTTTTGAAGAACATATTTATTTGTGATATTGAAGGTTCACCCAAAAATGGCTATATATGATCATCACATTTCCTAGACACACCGGCCCAGAAAGTAAACCAGAAGACAATGACAGAGGCCTGATTGATCATTGCTCCTTTAGCATTCTCAGTCTTTCTGAGACATCTATGGAAGCATTGTGACATACACAGACTTGCTGTAAGGCCGAGAGACTGGAAGGAATTTATATATAATTATTTACCTCTCAATAAAATGTTAAAGAAAGAGTTGGCTGAATAAGTTGCAAGGCAGGTATATTGCATTAATCGGTTATTCCAAGCTCTGCTGCTTATTATAGACAGTTTGTTTTTTTAAAATTTATCAAGATCTTCTTTGTGTGGTGGATTATAAAAAGCTTAGAGATAAAGTTGGATCTCATCCATAGCACCTGTTATGCTTAGCAATCTTAACCTCACTTCTGGCTTCATTTTGTTTTATTATTACCTTTGCTTTTCTGTATTTTAAAATTTCACTTCTGTGATTTTTTTGCATTTTATTATATTCTTGTTAAATTATATGTACACAAAATCAAGATACAAATTAATAAATTAACTTGACAAGCCACTTAATATATTTGATTCTTGTTTTTCATATTTATAAGATGAAGACAGTAAGTACGATAAGAGAGTGTTTACCTCAGAGTCAGTGGAAGACACATTATGGGATAAAAACTAGCTATGAACAACACAGAGTATGTTGGTCCCTTCAAAGTGTTTATCTTCTAGTCAATGGTGAGCAAACTATAGACAAGAAGATAAATGATTTTAAATTACTAAATACGCTATAAAAATAAACTATGATATTACAAGGTAAGAGACTGATGATCAGGTTTCACTTTGTCCCTTTTTTTTTAACTTTGATTTTAAGTTCAGGAGGACATGTGCAGGTTTGATGTATAGGTAAACTCGTGTCATGGGGATTTGTTGTATAGATGATTTTGTCACCCAGGTAATAATGCCAGTACCTACTAGTTATTTTTCTGCTCTTCTCCCTCCTCCCAATCTCCACACTTTGATAAGCCCCAGTGTCTGTTGTTCTCCTCTTTGTGTCCATGTGTTCTCATCATTTAGCTCCCACTTAGAAGTGAGAACATGTTGTATTTGTTTTTCTGTTCCTGCATTACTTTACTAAGGACAATGGCCTCCAACTCCATCCATGTGTCAGCAGAGGACATGATGTCATTCTTTTTTATGGCTGCATAATATACCATGGTATATATGTATCACATTTTCTTTATCCAATCTGCCATTGATGGGCATTTAGGTTGATTGCATTTCTTCGCTATTGTGACTAGTGCTGCAATAAACATATGCATGCACGTGTCTTTATGATAGAATAGTTTATATTTTATTGAGTATATACCAAGTAGTGGGATTGCTGGGTCAAATGGTAGGTCTGTTTTTAGCACTTTGAGGAACTGTCACAGTGCTTTCCACAATGGTGGAACCAATTTAAACTCCCACCAACAGTGGATAAATCTTCCCTTTTCTCTGCAACCTCACCAACATCTATTGTTTTTTAACTTTCTAATAATGGCCATTCTTGGGAGATGGTATGTATCTCCAAAGATGGTGGGAGGTAGTATGTATCTCCAAAGATGGTGGGAGATGGTATGTCATTGTGGTTTTGACTTGCATTTTTTCTAATAATCAGTGATATTGAGCTGTTTTTCATATGCTTCTTTGCTACACATATGTCTTGTTTTGAAAAGCGTCCATTCATATTTTTTGCCCACTTTTTAAAATGGTTTTTTTCTTGAAAATTTATTTAAGTTCCTTATAGAGGCTGGATATGCAACTTTCGTCAGATGCATAGTTTGCAAAAATTTTCCTGCAATCTGTAGGTTGTCTGTTTACTCTGTTGATAGTTTCATTTGCTGTACAGAATCTCTTAAATTTAATTAGATCCCATTTGTCAATTTTTGCTTTTGTTGGTATTGCTTTTGGCATCTTTGCTATGAGATGTTTGCTAGTTCCTATGTGCAAAATGGTTTTGCCTAGGTTATCTTACAGGGTTTTTATAGTTTTGGGCTTTACATTTAAGTGTTTAATACATCTTGAGTTGATTTTTGCATATGATATAGGAAGGGGTTCAGTTTCAATGTTCTGCATATAGCTAGCCAGTTACCTAGCACCATTTATTGAATAAGGAATCCCTTCCTCATTCTTGTTTTTGTCAGCTTTCTCAAAGATCAGAAGGTTGTAGCTGTGTTGCCAAACTTCTGGGTTCTCTATTCTGTTCCATTGGTCTATGTGTCTGTTTATGTACCAGTATCATGCTGCTTTGGTTACTGTAGCCTTGTATTATAGTTTGAAGTTAGGTAACATGATGTCTCCAGCTTTGTTCTTTTTGCTTAGGATTGCTTTGGCTCTTCAGCCACTTTTTTGGTTCCATGTGAATTTTAAAATCGGTTTTTCTAGTTCTGTGAAAAATGCCATTGGTAGTTTGATAGGCATTGCATTGAATCTGTAAATTGCTTTGGGCAGTATGGCCATTTTAATGATAGTATTTTTTCCTGTCTATGAGCATGAAATGTTTTTCCACTTGTTTGTGTCTTCTGTGATTTTTTTGAGCAGTGTTTTTAAATTATCATTGCAGAGATTTTAGAACTACTTGGTTAGCTATATTCCTAGGTATGTTATTCTTTTGGGCAATGTCCACATCAAAAAAGCAGAAATATCTTAAATTGAAAACCTTACATCACAAGTAAAAGAACTAGAGAACCAAAAACAAACCAACCCCAAAGCTAGCAGAAGACAAGAAATAACCAAGCTGAACTGACAACGATGAAGACACAAAAAACCATTCAACAGACCAACAAGTCCAGAGGTTTTTTTTTTTGAAAAATTAAGTAATATATTGTATTAGTCCATTTGCACACTGCAAACGTTTCAGGACACAAAATCAACACACAAACTTCACTAGCATTCCTACACACCAACAGCAGCCAAGCCAAGAGCCAAATCGGGAACACAATCCTACTTCATTTCTTTCTACCCCAGACAGCAACACCTCTCCTCTTTCATCTGTGTTGTACTAGCATATTGATGGCTTTCATGGTCTGGGAAAAGCTTTTCTGTGACTGCACTTTCTAGCCATTTACCATTCTCTCCCTATGGCGGTTCCTATGATACCAACAATAAGGAATTGCCATTTGCTAATCCATTTGCTAATCAAAGCTGTTGTCAGATGCATTTAAGATATTTTTCAACAATGAAGATGGATTTACATCTACCTGAGACTAGGTAATTGATGAAGAAAAGAGGTTTAATTGACTCACAGTTAGTTCTGCATGGCTTGGGTGACCTCAGGAAACTTGGAATCACATGGTGGCAGGGAGAAGGGGGAAGTGCCACACACTTTTAAATGATGAGATCTCCTGAGAACTCACTATCATGAGAGCATCAAGGGGAAAATTTGCCCCCATGATTCAGTCACCTGCCACCAGGCTCCTCGCCCAACATGTCAGGAATACAATTAGACATGAGATTTGGGTGGGAACACAGAGATAAACCATATCAGATATTAATAAAGAAGAAAAGAGAGAATAAGCAAATAAATGCAATAAGAAACAAAAAAGGAACGTTACCACTAGTCCCACAGAAATAAAAACAAGCATCAGAGATTCTGAATACCACTACGCATGTAAACCAGAAAACCTAGAAGACATGGGTATATTCCTGGACACATACACCCTCCCAAGACTGAACCAGGAAGAAAATGATTCCCTGACCAGATCGATAATTAACCCTGAAATTGAATCAGTAGTAAATAGCCTAAAATCAATAAAAGCCCAGGGTCAGAGAGATACACAGCCAAATTCTACCAGATGTAAAAAGAAGAGCTAGAACCATTCCTACTGAAACTATTATAAAAAAAATTTGAGGAGAAGTGGCTCCCCCACAACTCATTCCATGAGACCAGCATCATCCTGGTACAAAAACGTGGTGGAGACAAAACATAACAAAAGTTTAGGCCAATATCCTTGATGAACATTGATACAAAAATCCTCAACGGAATACTTGCAAACTGAATCTAGAAGCACATCAAAAAGATAATCCATCAGAATCAAGTGGGCTTTATCCATGGGATCCAAAATTGATTCAACATATGCAAATCAGTAAATGTGATTCATCACAGAAACAGAACTAAAGAGAATCACCACATGATGATCTCACTAGATGCAGAAAAGTCTTTTGATAAAATTTCGCATTCCTTCATTTAAAAACTCTCAATAAACTAGGTGTTAAAGGATTATACCTCAAAATAATAAGAGCCATCTATGACAAACCCACAAACAACATCATACTGAAAGGATGAAAGCTGGAAGTATTCCCCTTGAAAACCAGCACAAGACAAGAATACACTATCTCACCATTCCAACATAGTTTTGGAAGTCCTGGCCAGAGCAATCAGGGAAGAGGAAGAAATTAGGGCATCCAAACAGGAAGAGAAGAAATCAAATTATCCCTGTTTGCAGATGACATGATTCTATATATATACAAAACCCCATAGTCTTGGCCCCAAAGTGCCTTCAGCTGATAAACAACTTCAGCAAAGTTTCAGGACACAAAATCAACATACAAACTTCACTAGAATTCCTAAACACCAACAACAGCCAAGCTAAAAGCCAAATCCGGAACACAATCCTACTTCATTTCTTTCTACCTCAGACACCAACACCCATCCTCTTTCCTCTGTGTTGTACTAGCATATTGATGGTTTTCATGATCTGGGAAAAGCTTTCCTGGAACTCTGCACTTTCTAGCCATTTACCATTCTCTTCCTATGGCGGTTCCTATGATACCAATGATAAGGGATTGCATTTGCTAATCCATTTGCTAATCAAAGCTGTTCTCAGAAACATTTACGATATTTTTCAACAACGAAGATGGATTTGCACTGTGCTATCCAATAGTACCATCTATTCTTCTCTGACACATTTGTGAGATGAGTAGAGATTTAGTCCTTCATAGAAATGACAGAGACCAATCTCTTTTTGTCTTACTTTTTGTGAATCTGAATAGTTAGTATAATGTAGGAGTTGAATTTATAGGCCTATACGCAATACACAACATGATAGAGATTTGATCTTTCCTGTTTGAGTGGAGAAGAAAACATAATGGCTGTTGTTCCTCCCATCAGTATTTATACTATGGGTTTGAGTCACTGATGTAATTGTGCATTTTATATAAACCCTCAAGAATAGGAGGCCTATTCCTCACTCTAGTCCCCCAAGTTTCCCAAGATTACATAAAATATACCCAATACGGTTCTCCCTTTCCACAAAGGTATATGAGTAATATTTGAATTAAACATTGGAAGCACACACCCAGTGTCTCCAGAGAATTTTCACTTGAAATTCAGAACACAGTACTTCATGTCACCAAGGGATATGGTTTGGTTCTGTGTCCTTACCCAAATCTCATCTTGAGTTGTAATCTCCATAATCTTCCTGTGTTGAGACCAAGTGGAAGGTGATGGGATCATGGGGGCAGTTTCCCCCATGCTGTTCTCATGATAGTGAGTGAGTTCTCATGAGATCTGATGGTTTTATAAGGGGCTCTTCCCCCTGTGCTCCTCATTCTTCTCTCTTCTGCTGCCTTTTGAGGAAGATGCTTGCTTCCTCATTCTCCATGATTGTAAGTTTCCTGACACTTCCCCAGACATGTGGAACTGTGAGTCAATTAAACTTCTTTCCTTTGTAAATTACCCAGTCTTGGTAATATCTTTAGAGCAGTGTAAAAACGGACACATACACCAAGAATGCAACCACTGGGTGTCCATCTCATCTGTGAAGCTAAAAGGTCATCTTTTTCTCTTTCCATAGTGCTTCTGTTTTTAACATCATTTTTAATTCTTCCGGTATACTTGAACAATTATATCATCTATAGAATCACTCTAATATATTCTTGGCTCTTTATGCTATAGAGATTGTTCATCAGGCTTACATCAGGCATGGCCTTATTTGATGTGATTGATAACCACTGAACTGCAGAGTTTGGGTAACAGTGAGTGGCCATTCACCAAAAAGGGGGATGACGAACAATGCAACTGTTAAGTGAATTCTGATGACACAACCAATGTTGAGGACCCAAGCAGAATACAAAAGATTAGTAAAGGAAATATTTAGCGCAAAGGACACTGTGATAATTAAGTTTCCACTTGTTGGGAAGATGGGAATGTCTCCCTAGTGTTTCCACCACTTGGTACTAATAAAACAGTCAAAGCAGTAAGCACACCCTGGCCAATCACACTTGAGGATGCTTTATATCAATTCTAGACTGCTTTAGTACTCATTCTACTTCAGAAAATAAATACAAACACAATAAAATGTCCATTTTGCCATTTGGAATCTGTTTCATTCACCTTGCTCTGTCTGTCTGCATCATGTGACATCTATTGCAATGAATGAGATCAGATGCAATAACAAATTGAGAAAAGAACTCAATAAAACTCTTGGCATTTGCTTTGGGTTGCCTGTACCATGGGCAATAGCAGGTGGCAGCCTCTGCGTTTAGATTTTTTCTAACAACTTAAGGAACTCCAACAGAAATTTGGTAGATAAAAAACAGCAGATATTTATCAAGACTTTCATTGATCCTGCTTTATTTGGTATACGATGCATATTTGAAGACATGCAAAGATCCTACTTATTTTTGCTTTAATCCTAATATGTTGTCAAGTGATTGAAATTACTCACCTTCTGGTTGTTACCATAAAATCAACAACCCAGAGAGGAAAGGTTTTAATCTGACAACCACATTACTAAAAGATCTATGAAAAATATTATGAGTAAATATTTTATACTCATAAAAAAGCAGTGAAGAAAACTGCAAAATCACTTTTTATTTCTTGCCAAGGGCAAGAAAATATAAGCATAAAGAGCAGCCCAGACACAAGCAGCATGCATATCACTACACATTCTTCATGTTTATGCATCATGTAATGAAAAAGGCCTTCCACAGATACAAACTACAAATACATTTCAAAGAAAAATGGAAATGAGAAAAAGCTAAGGTATTGTTTTATATTGGAATCTCACTTTTGTCTTTCCTTTATCTCATTTTCATTGCTATCAAATGAGAAAAACCACAGAAGAAGCAACATGAAATCTTTTTCAAGGGTTCCAGTTAATCTAAAAAAAAAATGAGCTTCTTAATGATAGTGTTGAAACATAGGAAATAAGTTGGGCAGCATGACATAGACAAGTTCAAGGGTAGGTCAAACTGTCCAAAAGCAAAATAAATTTGGTGACACAGAGCTGAAAATGTCCTGGCTATTTGGCCACTGCTGTTGGCATATCAAAAAAGGCAATTTCAAGGGGTAACACAGTTTTCTTATTTTTTTAAAGGCTATTTATTACCTTGATTGCAGTGATGGTTTCACTGTTTCATGCATATGTCCAAACATCAAATTGTATATATTACATATTTGCAATTTTTGTATATGCATTATACCTCAATAAATAGTTTTAAAAAGAAACACAGTTTGCCATAGGAAATTTATAAAGGATAAAAGAATTATGTCCACTTGGATGTGTAAGTATCACCGGCCTTTTTAAAATTGAAAGGTAAGTGAAAGCATGTCTCAATGTGATAACCAGCATATAAAAACCAGATTGGTAATACAACATGCCTGCTTCAGAGATTCATGGCAAGTATTTTCAATATGTTTCTGGGGAAGTGGCAGTAACATGCCCTTAAAAAACCTAAATAAAAACCCATTTTCTTGGTCAAAACTACCAGTGAGTAAGATAGGTGATCAAAGTATATTCTGGCAATCAGCTTACTACCGTTCACATTATAGTGGACGTTTAAATCTCACAGAGGATTTTTTATTCTGATTTTAAAAAAACACAAACAAAACAAATGTGGTTGTCATTTAGAAATAAATATTCTTTTGTCATCCTGTTTTCTCAACTCATTTAAACTTTAAATAATTTTATTATTTAAAGAGATTATTAGCTCTGTTGTCACCCCATTCCTTAACCTTTTTATTAGCTTCCAGGGTTCAAGGGGGATAGAATGGGAAAACATTCAAGTGAAAATAAGAAAACTTCCTAGAACTGTCCAGTACTGGACAAGAGTGACTTCTCTTTCTGGGCTCCAATTTGCTCCACTGTAGCAATAAGTTTATATTCCTGTTCAGCTCTAAAGTGTTGATTATTTTTCTAATGGAACTATCACAGATTTGCAGGGATTCATTGAAAAAAATGCAAATAGCTTTATATAGCTAAATCTTAACCACTTACTATGTGGTAGTCACTAACTTAAACTATGCCCTTTCTTATTTCTCATTTAAACCTTACAACAAACTCACAAGGTATGTGCCTTTTCTCCATTTGACAGATGATAAAATTGAGGCTAAAAAAGGTTAAGAAATGTGTACTGTATGGAAATAAAAAGAAACCCTGGACTATGTGGTGTTGTGAAAGATTAAAAGATGTTATAATCTATTGGAGATACAAATATAGGCGAAAAACATATTGTGTAAAGAAATGAAACAATAGTAAACAAATATAAACAAATATAAACCAAATACTTCCTGTCCAATTTAGACAGTTGCTCAATCAGGTGTGTATAGACACATACACAAACACACTCACATCCTTTATGGAATGAGATTGGATGTAAATAAGTAAATAATTCTAAATGAAGAGGAAAGAGAATGGGAAAATATTAAAGCAAGGAGGTAGATGAGCATGCACACATATGGATCCTATGGCACAGGGCAATTGCTAGAGCTCGGCTCAAATTTGCCTCAAACATTACAGTGACGCAAATAAGGTGGGAGTCAATCCAAAAAAAAAAAAAACCCTAGTATTATCAATAGGACTTAAACATTAGTACAATAGACATTGTTGGCAAGACAATTCTTAGTTGTTCAAGTCAATTTTGAGCGCTCGCAGATCATTTAGCATCCTGGCCACTTTCCTATAAATCATGGTAGTTGACTGGAGCAGTGCCCAGGCTTTGTGACAACTACCATGCCTTCACCCATTTCCATATTTTCCCACTTGAGGACAACTGAGTTACAAGATTTACATTGCTCATCATTTTCTATTTAGAAAACCATAACCAATTAGAGTAGGTCAGATTCTCAGTGATGACAATTGTTTTAATTAGAATGTTGCTTAAGTGTATACGAATATAAAACTAGGTGCAAATTAGTTGTCTTCATTGTCATAGCTCTCATCATACCGTAAAACAGAAGTATAATTAAATAACAACAAAATCATAATATCTACGAAAACGAGAGTACCACATGAAATGAATATGGCACTGACTGGCCTCCATCTTTGGGCTTTGTATGCCTATGATACCAAGGACTGTGTGATGATTCCATTCTTCCCACAATTTTTCTATTGTCCAGACATTTTCAAATCTTAAATTATACACCATGCCATAATATAATTTGACCTTCACTTGGTGCAAACATTTCACTTCCATGTAATGCCCACACCTAATCTTTCCTCCCTAGTTCGAGGCCAAGTAGTAGCACTTGATGCCAACACAATTATACCACTAGACCCAGGCACTGACATCATGTGGCAACATTCAATACAAAGATGGTTAGCCGGGAATTCGAAAGGTCTCCAAATGACATTATTTTCACAGATTTACTCTCTTCATTAATGGAATTTTTCTAAATGATCATCAATTATTTCTGTCATTTGTCCTATGTACGTGCAACCTAAAATACAGTTAAGTTCTTTACAATAATATATAGCAGCTTTTCAATTAAAAAAAAAGTATATGCTAAAAAGCTACATAAGTTTATTTTTCTGATAGGGGCATATCTTACCCTAAATACTGTATTGTCATTTTCATCAGACACATAGATAATGTGGTAAGCATTATTTGTCTCTTTACATATGTCTTAACATTTTGCAGACAGCAGTGCACAGATAATTTTACGCAAGACTTTTATGTAAAGTGTCATCTCCTCCTTGCTTATAGCCTGGCCTTATACTGCCATAGTCTTATCTAAACAAGTTCAGTTAGTAGAAACAATCTTGACTCTAGAATAGAGTTTAGGAACTAAATAGACTCAGTATATTTTATACACGATTATATGAGACTAAATTTTCTGTTTTGTTTCCACATATTAGTGAGAAATTCTCAAAGTATATTCCTCTGTATCTTTTTTGAATAACAATTGTTGTCCTGTGAAAAAAAATAAAGCTCTGTCATCAGTTAAGCTAAGCTATGTTCAGAAAAGCAATTGAATTCTTTATTTCAGGACTTCTGAAGTTTTTAATGTGCATCCTCAAGAGGAAGATGCAGTGTTTCCCAAAATTACTTAATCATAACATGTTAAAATGTTTCTATCATTATTTTGTCATAACCTATTTCAAATATCATGGTTCCAAAACAGTACCACTCTAGCTAGTGAAAGCTCAAGTAGTATACAAAGCAATACATGGTTTATTAGCTATATAATCTGGCACAAGCAGCTTAACCCCTTTGAGCCTCATATTCATTACTTCTGAAAATATGGATAATAATTGGAGTTATCTAATAGGGCTGTTAAGCAGATTAAATACAGTATGTACAAAAAACTAGCGATTAATGGTGCTACTACTATTCCTCATAGCCAATTTTACTGCTTGCCTATTTATTTATTGTAGCACTAATTCATCTGTGCATCTGTGCAATTGTTGAAAGTCCGCTAAAATTATGAATGATGTCAATAAAAATATTCATTTATGCACTCATTCATTCAACAAATAATTATTGAAAACCTACTATACATGAATCACCATGTTAAATTTTGGAGATGAGAAGATGAGTGTGACACAGAATCCTTGTCATTGAGATACTCACAGTTCTTACGAGAAAGAGCCACGGAAACAGATGGGAACACGGTGTCAGAACACAGAATTCCATAATATGCAATGTGTAGATCTTATACAGAGAGAGATCTGATATGCTGTCTGAGAGGAGGGAGAGACAGACATGGCTTCTTGGAGGTGGTGGTATCTGACCTCAAATTGGAAAGGTGATTCACGAGGTCAGAGGTGATAAAAGTGAAACAAGGAGAGCATTCCAGGCCCAGGCATGATACAGCAGTGTGGGACCTAGAAATTTTACTCTGTTATTTCTATCGCACAAAGTATAAGAAGGACAATGGTAGATGGAACTGCAGAAAGCACTGTTCTTTTATAACAAATACTTGCAGTCTCTTTAAAATGTTGCCTTGCTCATCTTTCATTTCACACTTTCATTTTCAGCTGGTGAGCCTGTGAATTCATACATCAACTGTGCAAGTTATAATCATGAAAGTTAATTGTACTACGTGCCCAGCAGCATTCTATAGTCTTTCCATTTTATAATTCATCTACTTTTCACAACTTTTTCAGGTAGATTCCAGTAATGTCACTTCACAAATAAGAAAGTCCAGCCAGGAAGCTGTAAAATGGCTTGTCCAAGGTTATGAAACCAGTCAATGACAGAGCAGAGATGGGCCTCAGAGTCTATTCTCTTTCCCTTGCTCTCCTACTCGGGCCCCCTTTCCCTAGTATCTTTTTTCACCCACCTGTTTCCCCTAGCAGAATGTAACATGCTAAATTTTCACATGCTGTCTCTCAATCTTTTTGCCATTTTCTTCATAGCATTTATTCCAACTTGAAATTATTCTTTTGTTATCTTGTTTGGTTATTTCTATGTCTCTCCCACTAGTATGTAAGCTCCATGCCTCCCCAGTTCACTATTGAATCCCAAGTCCTAGCATAGTGGTTAAAATATAGTAGGCATTCAGTGAATTCCCATTTGAAAAACAAAGCAATTAGTGAGCAGAGAAGTTGATATTGCATGAATTTGTATAATTCAAGAGTGCTAAAGATGTAATTTTAATACATCTTAGATCAACAGAAAGTGCTTTTTTAACCACAAAATATATCTGTTCCATAGATTTTTGAGGAAACATGTTTTGTTTTGGTGGTTTTTTTGAGACAGAGTCTCACTGTTGCCCAGGCTGGAGTGTAGTGGTGTGATCTTGGCTCACTGAAACCTCACCTCCCGGGTTCAAGTGATTCTGGTGCCTCAGCCTCCCGAGTAGCTGGGATTACTGGCACGTGACACCATGCCTGGCTAATTTTTTTTATTTTTAGTAGAAACGGGATTTCTCCCTGTTGTCCAGGCTGGTCTTGAACTCCTGGCTTCATGTGATCCTCCCACTTCAGCCCCCCAGTGTGTTGAGATTACAGGCATCAGCCACCATGCTGGCCTAGAAAACATGTTTTTTGTTTGATTGTTTGTTTGTTTTCGAGATGTAGTTTCACTCTTGTTGCCCAGGCTGGAGTTCAATGACATGATCTCGGCTCACCGCAACCTCTGCCTCCCAGGTTCAAGCAATTCTCCTGCCTCAGCCTCCGGAGTAGCTGGGATTACAGGCATGCACCACCACGCCTGGCTAATTTTGTATTTTTAGCAGAGACCGAGTTTCTCCATGTTGGTCGGGCTGGTCTCGAACTCCTGACCTCAGGTGATCTGCCCGCCTCGGCCTCCCAAAGTGCTGGGATTCAGGCATGGGCCACTGCGCCTGGCCGAAAATGTTTTTAATTAAGATATTGGTTCATCATAAGATCTGAAAACTCTCTGATACCTAATCTTGCCCCAAATTAAAACAAACATCATAGGTGACTGCCTTAAACATTCTTGCTATCTCTTTGTTATAAAACAAGGAAAGTCTCTATTCGCTTAGCTATGGAATTTTCTATTTCACAATATATACTCTTTTTAAAACAGGGGGTCCCAAACTATCAGCTCTTGAGGAAAGTCCTGAAGATCTATTTTGCTTGTCCAACATTGCAGTCTTCTAAATAACTGAATTTCAAAGTCTTTTAATTAGGTATGCAATTCCCAGTTTTCCAGAGGTTAGGCCATTCCCTACTGCTTTATACCTAGATACACTCCTTGACTCACTTACTCTTCAAAATAGTTATCAGAAATGCTGGCAGCAAAATAAGATAAACTGGTTCTCTCACATTGCGGATGGAAGTGAATGTCATACAGCTATGTGGGAAACCAATCTGGCATCATCTTTTAAAAGAAAAAGAGACACTCACCCTTTGACCTAGTAATCCTCAGTAACTTGACAAATTGGTCATTTGAAAAATTGGCTTCTAACAAATTGATTTTTGACAAATTGGTATGCTTCTAGCATTCAGTACATTTTAGGTATTATTTTTTGTTTTCATTTGAATTTTTAATTACTGGTTGTAGTGAATGCTGTGATGTACTGCCTAGATACCGCTTCAGGACTCAGCCACTTAATTCCCCAGCTGCCAGGAGTGTTGACTGCTAACGGCTCACAGCTGTGATCTTTTCTGGGCCTTGCCCTTGATCTAAAGGAGTTGCTTTGCTCAAGGTTATATCTCTTCCCCAAGGGCAGCTACGTACAATGATTGGTCAGTGCAGGGCTATGAAGGCCCAGCTCCTCTGCCTCAATTCTGGACAACTGTGAAGCTCTGGACAAACTCCAGAGCTTCTTGTTGAATCAGATGGAAAATCTGTGGCACCTGCATCACAGTTAACCTTCTCCCTCTATTCAATCCTTTTCCCCTCCCTTGCAGGTGTTGATTCTTAATGGAATATCCAAGAAACCTCCTGAATGCAAGTTTCTCTCTAGAGTCTGCTTCTCAGGAACCCAATTTAAGACTCCAGTGGTGTGGAATAATATTTTAAATGAAAATATGCATCTTTTAGATGTTTTGCAAATTGCAGAAGTAATACATACGTGTATCTAGTAAAAAATAAGAAACAAAGATACTAATAATCCTGTTCACATGGAAATAAAAGTCCCAATACCTAAATACACAAAACAATTCACTAGAACGTTGCACATGGTGTCACAAAGCTTGAAGACTGTCCACTCCACAAAACGGAGACATAATTCAAATGATTTAGCATACACCAACACCATGGGCTATTATGCAGAATTTTATAAATAATAAATTAGAGCTCTATAAGTTGACTCAAGATTTTATGAGGCTTTCCTGAGTAAGAAAAACAAAGATGTAAAGACACATACATGATCCAAAGTTTAAAAGCATGAAACAACCCAAAAAACTGTGTATATGTCTATTAGTATTAAGTGTGTGTACATGTATATGTATTTTATATGAACATGGAGGAAAGTAGAGTGGTTAACATGGGTTGTGGGTGGAGCTATCGGGATCTATTATGTTATTTCACTTGTAACAAAAAGTACATATTTCATTTGCAATTTGAAAAAACGTGATCAAGAAAAAGTTAATTAAAATGAAGTTTAAACTTAAGCATCGCTAAATGTAAATTATTTTTTCAGCTTTATTGAGCTATAATTGGTAAGTAACAATTGTATATATTCAAGGTGTACAATGTGATGTTGTGAATATACATGTAGATTATAAAATGATTATACGACAATAAAAGGAATTAACACAGAAAAATCTCACGTAGTTACTATTTTGTGTTTTATTTTGTGTATGTGTGCGTTTTTGTGTGTGTTGAAGACACTTCGATTTTACTCTTTGAGAAAACTTCAAGTAAAAAATACAGTGTTATAACTGTAGTCACGATGCTATATATTAGATTCCGTGAACATATTCATCTTATAACTCAGTGTTTGTGATGTACATATCCCCAATTTCCCCATCCCAGCTCCTGGCAAATATCTTTCTACTCTCTGCTTCTAGGCAAACAATTTTTTAAGATTCTACATATAAGAACGATCATGCAATGTCTGTATTTCTCTGTCTGGCTTATTTCACTTAGCATAATGTCTTCCAGGTTTATCCATGTTGTCACAAATGGCAGGACCTCCTTCTTATTTATGGCTGAATAATATTCTTTTGTATGTATACCTTCAGATAACTTTAGTTTTAATTTGTTCTTCTTTTTCTATTTTCTTGGAGTATAAAGTTAGGTTGTTTATTTGATTTTTTTCCTTTATTAGGCATTTATAGTTATAAACTTCCCTATCAGGGCTGATCTTACTGCATCCCATAAGTTTTGCTATGTTGTGTTTCCATTTTAGTTTTTCTCAGGATACATTCTGATTTCCCTTTTGACTTCTTCTTTAACCCTTTGGTTGTTCAGGGGTGAGTTATTTAATTTCTACCTATTTGTAAATTTTCTAAAATTTTTACCGCTGTTGATTTCTAGTTTCATACCATGATGGTCAGAAAAGATACTTGATAATGACTTCAAGTCTTTATAAATCTGCTAAGACTTCTTTTGTGGCGCAATATAAGACCTATCCTGGAGAATGTTCCATTTGCACTTGAGAAGAACATATATTCTGCTACTGTTAAATTGAATATTCTGTACATGTCTGTTAGGTCCATTGGCCTATAGTGTCATTCAAGTCTGATGTTTCTTTTTTGATTTTCTTTCTGGATGATCTATCCATTGTTGCAAGTGGGGTGTTAAAACTCCGTACTATTATTGTATTGCTGTCTATTTCTCCCTTCGCTTACATTAATATTTGTTTTATATATATTTAGGTATTCCAATGTTGGATATATATAAATTTACAATTGTTATATCCTCTTGATGAATTGACCCTTTTGTCATTACCTAGTGGACTTTTTTGTCTCTCAAGACAGATTTTGAGTGATAGTCTATTCTGTCTGATATAAGTATAGCCACACCTGATCTCTTGGTTACCATTTATGTGAAATATCTTTCTCAATTGTTTCACTTTCAGCCTACATGTGTCCTTGAGCATAGAGTCTTTCATCAACACAATATGGTTAGATCTCATATTTTTATCCATTCAAGCACTCTGTTGATTGAATAATTCAGTACATTTACATAAATTAATTAGTAATTAGCAAGGACACACTATTGTGATTTTGTTATTTTGTGACTATGTTGTAGTTCCTTTCTTCCTCTCTTGCTGACTTCCTTCCTGATTTATTTTTTGTACTGCTACACTTTGAATCCCTTCTCTTTAACTTTTGTGATCTAATAGAGTTTTCTGCTTTGTGGTTATCATGAGGCTAAGATTAATCATCTTATACTTATTGCATTCTCTTTTATGTTGTTGACAACTTAGCTTCAATTACATATAAAAAATGCTACAATTGTACCGCCACCCAGCCCACATTTTACATTGTTGAAGTAAAACTTTACATTTTTTATATTATGTATCCACCAAGAAATTATTGTAGCTATATTTATTTTTAATACTTTTTGTCTTTTAACTCTTATTCTAGAGTTAAACGTTATTTTAAACAACGAGGTCTCCTGAGAACTCACTCCCCATACAATACCAAGGGAGGATGAAGCTAAACTATTCGTGAGAGCTCTACCCCCATGATCCAATTACTTCCCACCAGGCTTCTCCTCTGACACTGGGGATTACAATTCAACATGATATTTGGGTGCGGCGGACACAGATCCAAACCATGTCTAGCAGCCACGTAACCTGGTTCCAGCCCCACTAGACTGAATTTCAAGAGGCAATTCTATAAGCCAAGGGACCCAACAGCAGAAAATACTTATCTGCTGGAATCAGTGTCTACAGTTTGGAAGAATTGTTTGCTCCTTCAAATGCACAGGCACATGGATGTTAAAGAATCAGGCAAACATGACAACACCTGAGGAAACTCATGCAACTCCAGTAAATTACCCTAAAGAAATCAAGGTATACAAATTTCCTGAATAATAATACAAAATAACGATTTTAAAGAAGATCAATGTAATGCAATAAAACACAGATAGAAGACTAAATACAATTAGAAAGACAACGTATGAAAAAAATTAGAAATTTAATACAGAAATAGAAACCATAAAAAATAGACATAAATCTTGGAGCTGAAGAACACATGAATTAACTAAAACATTTATTAGATAGTTTCAACAGTAGACTTGATCATACAGAAGAATTCGTGAACTTGAAAAGAGGTCATTTGAAATTGGCCAATTAGAGGAACAAAAACAAGAAAGGATGAAAAAGTGTGAAGAAAGCATAAGGAACCTATGGGACACTATCAAACATAAGAATATATGAATTATGGGAGTTACAAGATAAGAGAGTGTGAAAGTGGCAGAAAGATTATATAAATAAATGCTGACTGAAAACTTCCCAAATCTTGGGGTGGATATGTACATCCAGAATCGTGAGTTGCAAAGTATCCCCAAGCAAGACAAACTAAAGATTACTCTAAGACACATTATTATCAAATTGTCGAAAGTCAAACATGAAGAGAGAATCTAGAAAACAGCAAGAGAATTGAGACTTGTCATTCAAAAGGGACCCCACATAAAGCTATCAGCACACTTCTCAAGGGAAACCTTGCAAGCCATGGGGGAGTTAAATAATACAATCAAAACATGAGAAGCAAAACACTGCCAGCCAGGGATGTTATACCCGGCAAAAATGTCTTTCAGAAATGAATGACAGATAAAGATATTCACAGACAAACAAAAACAGGAAAATTCATCACCACTACGCCTTCCTTACAAGAAATGCTAAATGGAGTTCTGTAAGTTGAAATGAAAGGATGCTAAGTAACAATAATAAAACCACATAAAAGCATAAAACTCACTGGTGATGGTAAATACATAAATCAAATGTAGAATATTCTAGTACTGTAATGTTGGTATGTTATGCATTGTTTTTCTAATTGTATTTAGTTTTCTATCTGTGTTTTATTGCATCAAGCTGATTTCTTTAAAATAGTTGCTTTGAATTATTATTCAATAAATTTGTATACCTTGATTTCTTTAGGGTCATTTACTGGAACTTTATGAGTTTCCTTGGTGTTGTCATGTTTGCCTGATTCTTCGTCACCTATGTGCCTGTGCATTTGAAGGAACAAACAATTCTTCCAAATTGTAGAGACGGATTTCAGCAGATAAATATCTTCTGCTTTGGGTCGCTTGGCTTATAGAATTACCTCCTAAAATGCAGTCGGGTGGGGTTGGAGTCAGGTCACACAGATGCTTAACATGGTTTAAATCTGTGTGCCCCCCTCCCGTCTTCCCCCACTCTCCCACCCCTGCTCAAATCTCATGCCGAATTGTAATCCCCATTGTTGGAAGAGGGGCCTTGTGGGAAGCAATTGGATCATGAGTGTGGAGTTCTCATGAATGTTTTACTACCATTCCCCCTTGTTACTGTATATTCTCATACTGTAAGTTCTCATGAGATCTGGTTGCTTAAAAATGTGTGACACCTCCCCCTTCTCTTTCCCTTTTGCTTGTGCTCCAGCCATGTTAAGACATGCCTGGTTTCCCTTCACCTTCCACCATTATTGTAAGTTTCCTGAGGCCTCATTAGAAGCAGAAGCCACTACCTGTACAACCTGTAGAACCCTGAGCCAATTAAACCTCTTTTCTTTACAAATTAGACAGTCTCAAGTATTTATAGCAGGCTGAGAACAGACTAATTAACTGCTACAGGATCCACAGTGGAGTCCACATGTGGTGGCTTCATTACCAGGGGCTTCAGTGGGCATGGGTGCCGCCTGGTCCTGAATGGACTGGATTGCCTCCAAGACCTTGATCAGTAGGGCTGATATGGGGCCAAGTGTCCACTTTAGGGTCCGCATTTAGATCTACAGGTGGTGGGACTATTTCCAGGTGCACAGATGGGTGTGGCTCATTCTAGGTCCCAGGGAAGGCTCCCGCTGTGCCACTGAGTGTGTCCCTGGGAAGTCAGAACTGTCACTCTACTATGGATGACAGAGAATTGAACCAAGTCAAAGGGCTGCTTCATGGTTCACAGCCAAGACCAAAGTCTGCAGGCCTTCCTCTTGGGGCACATATAGGTGTGCCTCCTGCTGGGTTCCTGGGTAAGCAATATTTTCCTAAACCATGGGTAGCAGACGCAGGAGCTGGGTTGCAGGGCCACTTCAAGATCTACGCTGGGATCAAGTTAGGCAGTCCTGCCTCTAGGGGCACAGAAGGATATGTCTTCTGGTGGACTCCTATAGAGGCAGGTCTACTCTGCTGCTGAGAGGGGCTTGAGTTAACTTACGGGGCTGCTTCAGAGTCCACAACAGGGACTGAGATTTGTAGACTAGACACTGAAAAAAGAGGTGGTCATGACTTTTCCCAAGTACTTTGATGAATGGTTATGGTTGCAGTACCATATAGAAGAGACCACAGGGGTCACAAGGCCATTTCCAAGTCTGTAGCTGGGAACACAGTCAGTGAGCCTCCCACCTGTGTGTGGCCTGCCCTCTCTAAACATTCCTCCTTGGTCTTGGGCTCTACCAGGATTTTGCAGTCTCCTACCTTGGTCTCAAATCTCCTACAAAGGCACTTTTGTCCATGGATGGCTGTGAAATTATTGCTGCTACTGGGGGATATGAGCAGAGGACCCACTATTGTGCAACCTTAATAAATACAAGTTAAAGTAAAAATAATAGTTTATGGTCACTGAGCACTGGAAGCAGCCCAATGTACTAAAAATCAATTCATTGAACTCCAACCTACCCGAAGACAAATTTGTCAAATTATTATATTTTTGAGCTCTAACTTTTCCTATTCTGCCTCTCACTGTCATAAATGCCAGTAGCTGATTAAATGCAGTTCTTTGTTTTCTTTACTCTGCTCCCACATCTCTCTATGACCCTGACCTTACTTCTGCCTCTGCTCCTACCTCTGCTTTCCTGAAAGATAGAGATAATATTTTCATGGACTTGGCCCTTCTCTTTGTCTCTGACAATGGAAGCGTGAACCAACTATATCAGATATTGTTACTTGTCTTCCATTTTTCAGAAAATTGCTCACTGATGATGTCATTCTCTAACTACAAACGCTCCTCTCCCAGTGTTGCAGCTATTAATAAATTACACCACTTGCCCCTTCCAGAAATCTCTCCTTACTCTTTAGTTTTTGGCCATCTTCCATTTCCTAATGTTATTCATTCTTACAAATTGATCTCCTTCTCCCTTTATTATTATTTGTGCCTGTCAAAATTCTGCCTATTCCACAAAGCCAGTCTCAAAATTCTTTAAATTTGTCTTTTATTGAGGCCTTTGTAATTGTGTTGTCTTAATCTACCTTGAATTACCTATGAAACTGGAGAGTGGGCACGGTCAGTGGAGCAGTTGCATAGATTCCCTTGACTGTAAGTTGGCTTTCTCTGTCTTGGGACAGCCTTAGGTGGAACAGATAGGAAATCGGTCAAATCAGCACAGAAGACTAGTGATGTTATCCATAACAGAATAAATTTTCCCCAAACACTAACTTGTCTTACTTCTGTCAGATTGTAAGCTCAAGGAGATCCCAGACTGTAGGTATGACTCTTAGTGTATGCTACATTTATTCAATTTAATTGTAATTTTTGTCTATGGATAGTCACCCACAAGTGATTCACATAGTGCTGACACTGGCCAAACTCTTTCTTCTGGGTTGATGGACATGATATACATTGCTTTCTAGCTGTTCTTTCCTATTTCTAACCACCATTCCTGGACTGTAATATTATGGTCACAGGAGGATTGCTGTCAATATTGCACAGACCAAAGGGTAATGAATAGGGAAATTTCAACCTAAATTTTTTCACAATTAGCTGGTAAAATGAGACAGCTATATGCAAAATGAAACATAGGCAGAAACACTGACTACTGACCAGAACAATATAATAGAAAAATGCATAGCAGAAATGTGTTGATAATTTTTTTTAAATGTTGACTACAGCTAATGAAGCAGTGTCCCACAGAGGCTAGAAAGATAGACTAGTCTATGTGTTTCTTTATTAACTTACTATGCTTTCTTTGTGAACGAAAATAAAACAAAACTGAAGAAAACGTAGTAAAGAAATGCTTTGAGTAGAAATGTAGTGTAGAGAAACATTCTGTGTCGTTTCAGCCTAGTCACTGCATTTCTATATGGCTTTGTCTGGAAATACAATATGATAACAATGCTCAAGGCATCCTTAATACTACATGGTTGTAATTTTCTTCCCCAAATGGTTACATCAAATATCTACAATGCCTGGATGGCCACCTGAAAACAACTAACAATTACAGCCTGATGATAAACAGAAGAGATAGAAAACAATAATGGCTAAATACGTAGTAATTGAAAATGCCAGTTCGTAGCTAGGAAAGAGCTCTCTATTTAAATGTTTTATATCCATCATTTCATGCAACACAGAAAATTTTAGTTTTATTCAGGGCTGAACCTTACCTCGTTATACAAAATTGTCCACTTTGTTGTAACACCTTTCCAAAGCCAAACTGAAAAGGATTTTAGGACTTCTGAGAAGATATGACTCAATTTTAGAGCTAGAAGGAATCCCAAGTATAATCTTATCAATTTCTTCATCATCTTTCACATGAGTAAGCAGAAGGTCAGAGTGGTAAAGAGATGCGCCTATTTGCATGAGAGCATCTGAAACAGGACAAGAGACCCAATTTGTGGCATTGAAGCCAGCACTGCTTCCGGTTAAGCATTTTGTAGAGAGTGAACTTTCTACCCCAGGTTTTAGAGAACCTTATTTAAATAACTAAAATAAAAATAAAGGGCTTCTAATTCAAAATGACTTCCAAGAGGATCATTTTTCTCTACCAATCTATAAATTTCATTATCTTGGCCTCCAGTATTCCTGTTATAAATCTCAAACATTATGCCATGTTTGCAAGTTAGAGTCTACAGGAAAAGAAATCAACACATAGCAAACCTATACCACCTATACTGGGAGTACTTTTACTACCACTTCAATCTTGTTACTTGTTATTGGTTGGCTCAGATTTTGGATTTCTTCCTGGTTCAATCTTGGTAGTCTGTATGTGTACAAGAATTTGTCCATTTCTTCTAGATTTTCCAATTTATTGGCATATAGTTACTCATAGTAGCCACTAATGATCCCAGTATTTGAATGCATCTTTCAAATCACCTTCTAATCCTATTGTCAAAATATAAGCTACTATAAATAGAAAAAGAGGCTTCTCTAAGAAGTGTGTAAGAATAATTTCTAATACTTATGTCACTCAAACCTATTATCTTGTAAAGTCTTACAACCACTCAGGTTCCTATAATATACGTTTGGACCAACAACTTTTATAGTTGTAACCTGTTTCCCCGCAAAATTACAAATTTCATGCCCTTTTTCTTATCCAAGCAAAAATACCTTCTCAGGCATATAGATCTGAGAAAAGAAAAACAGCTCAAAGCAATCTGAGCTATGTGAGGTATGCAAAATTTATCAGGTCCAGAGAGATACATGATTATGACACTTCAGTCTTGCCCCCTACACCTAAGCCTGGGGTCAATTGTTTAAAGGCACTTTGTTCTCTGACTAGCTGCCTCATTCATTATCTTCATTTTCCTGAAATTGATGATACAAAGAATAATGTACAGCCAACGAATAACTTATGCTATTTTGATGTAAATTCTTAGTAAACAATTTGGGGACTATCCTTACTTCCCACGCCATGCACTTCGTTTTTAAAACCCACTTGTAACTGCTGTATATGGAAGTGTATATTTAGGGCAAGTTGAATCTACGATCCTGTGTTATAGTCCTCAAATTTGGCACAAATTGGTACAGTAGATAGCTAGTCAGGCATGAGCCGGGCAGGAGAGGGCTCCCCCTACCCCAGCACAATGTCAGGCAATTATCAGGTTATGATCAGGCAGTTGTCACACTGCCTGTCCAAAATAATGATTAGTCACAGCCAGCTCCAGGGAAAGGCAGTTTCCAAAAAGATAAAAACACCTGAAACTGGTGATCAGCATCTTCCTAATAAGAGCTCGGGAACTGGGCAAGTGGGCTCAAGCATACACATTAAGAGGCAACATGGTGGAGTTTAACTGGTATATGACTGTCCAGGGGCATTCCAGCAGAAAAGGGAAGAATGCCTCAGGTGAGCATGTGTACAACTCCAGTAAACACACTGTGTGTACTCACCCCCCAAGTGCTAGCATGCCACCGCACATGCGGGCAGTTCACTGTAAGGAAAGAATCAAGAGAAATGGGATGCAAGCTGCTAGAAGTTTCCCAGCATACAAAACTTTAAGTCCAAGGTCAAACAGAGCACTTGTCCTTCAAGTTGCCCGTTTGTGTCTTCCAAGTGTACTTTCCTTCCTTTTGTTCCTGCTCTAAAGCCTTTTAATAAACTTCCACTCCTGCTCTAAAACTTGCCTCAGTCTCTTCTTCTGCCTTATGCCCCTCCGTCGAATTCTTTTTTCTGAGGAGGCAAGAAGTGAGATTGCTGTAGACCTGTACAAATTCACCGCCGGTAACTCAGATAACTTCCACTGCTAACAAAACACTCTATTTATGTTAATTTTGCCTCCGTTTTTTGTCGTTGTTTTATTTTTTTTCCTTTCAGTTGACAGATCACTCTGGGAAACACCTGGATGTCAAAGTATTCCCGGTGGTTTCCCAGATGATAACTGAATACTCCAATTAAAGTGTGCGGATGTTCTTAGAAACATTGACAGCCAGTTGACAGACAAAACTTTAGAATGCCAACGCCATCTGAGATTCCACAGTGCATGAAGAATACGCATGTGAAGATTCCTTAAAGTCAAATTTCGGTGACAGGAATTACACATGTTCCACCTCCTCAAGTTTCTTACTAATAAAAGAAACTAGGGCCAGGCGCGGTGGCTCACGTCTGTAATCCCAGCACTTTGGGAGGCCGAGGAGGGCGGATCATGAGGTCAGGAGATCGAGACCATCCTGGCTAACACGGTGAAACCCCGTCTCTACTGAAAATGCAAAAACTTAGCCGGGCATGGTGGCGGGCGCCTGTAGTCCCAGCTACTCAGGAGGCTGAGGCAGGAGAATGGCGTGAACCCGGGAGGCAGAGCTTGCAGTGAGCCGAGATCGCGCCACTGCACTCCAGCCTGAGTGACAGAGTGAGACTCCGTCTCAAAAAAAATAAATAAACAAAAATAAATAAACTTTTTATTGCATATGTATTAACTGTTTACGTTTTCAAGATACTTTCCCATATCAGTTCATATGGCCCATGCCTTACATTTAGGAAAGATGAGCCTGTCTTATCATTTCCACATTTAGATGAGGAACTTAGGTTCAGAGAGCTGAAATGACTTGCTCAAGGCCATAATAGAAAGAAAATTAAAATAGTCTTCTAAGACTTCACTCTCTCTTAAATAAATGAAGACAAATATATTTGATAATTTAGGTGATCAGAACATATATCAATCATATGTGTTTAGTGATGAAATCTATTAATTTCACAACTATTAGACATCCCTCAATGGTGTTTCTCATATCTCTACAACTCAATATTATTATAATATTGAGTTGTTGTGTTTTTAATATTGTTATTCACAAAACCAAAAATTTTCATCAATCCTTATGCTGTAGTCCTTATCACATCGAATGGCACGCCTATTTAGCTTGCCTACCAATGAATAATTCCCAACTCCTCCTTCTCCTTCTCCCACTACATTCAATCATTCACAAATTCCTGCAGATACTGTCTCTTCAATAGCACTTATCTATGTTCTTGTCTTCATGCTGATATACAATGTCCTAGCTTAGTCCTACATTAACTCTTAGCAGGAATAGTAAACAGATCCTTAACTACTCTCCTTGAGCTTTAGTTTCTCCCTCCTTAAACTGTCCTTTAAACTGCTGCCAGAGTGATCTTTCTAAACTCTGACCTCCTCCCACGAAAACAAAAACTACAATAACACTCAACTGCCTCTGATCACCTCCAGGACAAAGTCCACATTTCTTAGTACAAGCTAAACAAGACCTTCAAATTTTAACCCAACTTCTCACTGAAGATTTCTATATTTTTTCTGTACAGTGCAAGGATAGGAGTAAATGATTTCTAAAATTTCCTTCCAGCTTTGGCATTTTGTGATTCTGTAATTTGCTAAGGGAAATTGTGCTTGAGAAATTTAACAAAAACCCCTGTTTTTTAACTTTCAGAAATATTCGTCTCAAAGTAGAGGAATGAGTTTTAAATACAAATCAGGGAAGTATTGCCAGTCAAGAGAGAAGGCCAGCTATTCATTCAAGTGGAGCAAACCAATCTAAAGAGAATTTCATTTTCTTTCCAAACTGCAAGCTCCGAATCAGGATTAATATCATTCCTTACAAAGAAACACTGCATATTCAGGGCCATTAGGCTGGGTGATCTAAGGGCCTGAATTGAGAGGTGAAGCTATTACTTCCATTAAAAATTAATTAGTAGTGGTAGAAAAAAAAGAATGTGACACAGTACATATGCAGAAAGTAGCTTGAGAAGGCTATTAACTGACAGAACTGCCATGGAAAGACAGAAGCCTCCCAGATTCTCCTCTCCCATCCTTCCTTCACACAGCAGCTTGAAGACCTTCTTTTCAAAATCCATTTTCCTTAAGATAACCTGCAATGGGTCTGAATTAGATGCATTTGAATAGTGACGGAATGATATCTATTTCATGGCTAATGTGATTGGCCAGGCAAAAACTGACTATTTCAGATCAATCAGCTTTTCAGTGAATTCTGTGACCACATGTAGACACAGTAAGCTAGTGTAACTGATCAAACTGGACTCCCTTTTAAATTAAAGACGGATTCTCCTCTTCCTTGGCTTCTCTAGGTCTTTCCTTTCAAAAACAGCCTTGGGCCCTCAGCCCCTTAGGCACGCTGCCAGGCTGAAGTAGGCATTGTAACCAAGCTCTGAGAACTCTGGGAATCTCTGCATTCTATGCTCAGAGAAATCCAGCAACATTTTCCCAAGCTTATGTATCATTCACAGAGAAACAAAGAGGAATAGAACACAATTCAAGTTCGTGAAAAAGGTCATTCAAAATAGCCAAACCTTTCTTGGATAGAAAATCATAGGTTCTGTCTACATGAAACAAGAGGAGGAAATGTAGATATTTTTAAATAAGTAGGTTACTGAGGAAATTTGTTAAACATTTAAAACAAACACCCTCAATCTATTAGATGGAGAGTAAACATGAGCTGCATTTGCTAATCAGCTCAACAGAAAGGCAAAACTGTAAGTTCCAGATTTGGAGATATTTTTCTGTCTGTAACTGCAGACATTTAGGCAACTTTGACAATTAATAAACATTAATTGTTACAAGCTTTACTTAAAATTATTTTTCAAGGGTCATTTTACAACTAAAAATTTTAAACACTTGATATTAAGTACCAATCCTTATTACAGAATATGATTTACTTCATCAGGACAAAGCAATTGAAGTAATGAAAGAAATTCTATAAAACTGACTCAAGACTCATTTTCTAAATGTTGGTGCTTAAATCTCACCCTGAGTAAAGAACATTATTTTGTCCTGGTAAAAGCTAATCAAGATCCACATACTGAATTATCAGTGTAAGCAGTGAACAACGTGAATCACTTAAAATACCTTGTCCATTTAGGAAAAGTAGAAACTATGCTTGTCATCATAAGAAAGCTATTATTATTATTATTATTTTTTGCGTAAGATGTTTTCTGACATGAGATGACTGACAGAAAGAGAAACTTTAGCTGTAATAATTGAACTTCAGGAATTTGGTTTGCATCTTTAGAGCCAAGAAAATCGAGAGTTTAAAAAATATGAGTGATGAAGATTCTCACTTTTCTTAGTTTCAAGAAGTTGGAGAGCCCTTTATATGTTTTCATTTATTTTCCTCTGGTTTTCAATTACTTATAAGTCTAACTCTGACTTTAATATACTGAGGAAATTTTGTTAGTTGAAAATCATTTATAAAAACTGGATTAATAAAAGATTAAAGACTAACTTTTAAAAACATATTTATTTAGCTATTATTTACCAACTATAAAATTCACCATTTTAAGTCTCACAGTTTCTTTTTAACTAGATTCAAAATGTTTTGCAACCATCACCACAATTTATGTTAAGAATATTTTCTTTGTTTTTCCCCCCAGCTTTATTAGGGTATAATAGAAAGATAAAAATTGTATATATTTATGGTATACAATGTGATGTTTTGACGTATGTATACCTTGTAAAATGATGAAAATAATCTAATTAAAATATCCATCATCTCACTTATCATTTTTTGTGATTTGAACATTTAAGATCTACTCTCTTAAAAATGATCAAGTATACAGTATGTTATTCTTAACTATAGTCATTGTACTGGAAAATAGATCTCAGAATTATTCAATCTGCTAACTAAAACTGTTTCCTTTTTTCTTTCTTTTTCTTTCTTTTTTCTTTTTTTTGAGATAGAGTCTCTCTGTGTCACCCAGGCTGGGGTGCAGTGGCATGATCTCAGCTCACTGCAACTACTGCCTCCCAGGTTCAAGTGATTCTCATGCCTCAGTCTACCTAGTAGCTGGGATTACAGGTGTGTGCCACCACAACTGGCTAATTTTTTGTATTTCTTGTAGAGACGGGGTTTCACTATGTTACCCAGGCTGGTCTCAAACTCCTGGACTCAAGTGATCTGCCTGCCTCAGCCTCCCAAAGTGCTGGGATTACAGGCATGAGCCACTGTGCCCGGCCATAATACTGTTTTTCTTTTTTCTTTTTTCTTGAGATGGAGTGTCGCTCTTGTTACCCAGGCTGGATGGAGTGCAATGGCGCGATCTCGACTCACCACAACCTCCGCCTCCCAGGTTCAAGCTATTCTCCTGCCTCAGCCTCCCAAGTAGCTGGGATTACAGGCGTGCACCACCATGCCCAGTTAATTTTGTATTTTTTTTTTTTTTTTTTTAGTAGAGACGGGGTTTCTCCATGTTGGTCAGGCTGGTCTCGAACTCCCGACCTCAGGTAATCTGCCCACCTCTGCCTCCCATAGTGCTGGGATTACAGGCATGAGCCACCCTACCTGGCCCCGTGTTTCTTTTTAACCAACATCTGCCCATTCTTCCCCATCCTCAGTCCCTGGCAAGGGGCTGTATTCTACCTTCTGCTTCTATGAGTTCAACTTTTTTAGATTCCACATAAAAGTGAGGTCAGGCAGTATTTGTCTTTCTGTGCTTCGCTTACTTCACTAAGCATGATGTCCTCTACGTTCTTCTATGTTGTAATAAATGACAGGCTTTCTTTTTTGAGCCTGAATAGTATACCATTGTTTCTGTGTGTGTGCGTGTGTGTATGAGATTTTCTTTTTAATTGATCTGTCAATGGGCATTTAGATTGCTTCTATACCTTGACTATTGTGAATAGTATTGCAATGAATATGGGACTGTAGACAGTTCTGCAACACAGCAATTACACTTCCATTGAATGTGTACTCAGAAGTGAAATTGCTGGACTATATAGTCGTCTTATTTTTAATTTTTAGAGGAACTTCCACACTGTTTTCCACAGTGGTTGCACTCAATGCACGTTCTCATTGACATTGGACAAGGCTTCCCTTTTTCCCACATCCTTGCTAACATTTTTTATCTTTTGTCTTTTTGATATAGCCATTCTAGCAGGTGTGAAGTCATAATTTATTATGGTTTTAATTTTCATTTCCCTAATGATTAATGGTGTTGGACTCTTTTTTTTAATATACCTGTTTGCCATTTGTATGTTTTCTTTTGAGGAATGTCTATTCAGGTTCTTTGCCTATTTTTAAACTGAGTTATTTATTTTCTTACTATTGAGTTGTTTGAAATTTTTATATATTTTGGATACTAACCCCTTATCAGATGTACAATTTGCAAAAATGTTCTTCCAGTTCCATAGCTTGTCTCTTCATTCTGTTGGTTGCTTTCTTTGCTGTGCAGAAGCTTCTTAGTTTGATATAATCCCATTTTCTAATGCTACTTTTGTTTCCTGTGCTTTTGGTATCATATCTAAAAAATCAGTGCCAAGACAAATGTCAAGGAGCTTTTTCTCTGTTTACTTCTAATAGTTTTACACTTTCAGGTGTAACATTTAAGTATTTAATCCATTTTGAGTTAATTTTTTTATATGGTGTGAGATAATGGTCAATGTCTTTTTTATTGCATAGGAATATCCAATTCTCCCAACACCCTTTATTGAAGTCTCCCCTTTCTCCATCGTCTGTTATTGGTACCTATGCTAAAGACCAATTGACTTTAAATGCATGGATTTATTTCTGCCCTCCCTATTCTGTTGCATTAATCTCTGTGTCTGTTTTTATGCTGGTACAATGCTATTTTGATTACTATAGTCTTGAAGTATACTTGAAGTATATTTTGAAATCAATCATCAGTTCAAAAGGAAACCTTGTAGACATTGGTAGTAACTCAGGTATTACTTTCAAAATATCTTGCAGGTACTCAGAGCTTCCAACTGTGTACCTTTTGAATGCATGCCATTCAAATAAATATCTGAAGCAATTGATGTAGGAAATGAGATTTTTAAAAAATAATCTGACCATTTTAGGGAAAATCAAATATTAGCTAATATTATTTGTGAATTGTATCAAGTTTTTAATAAGCTAAACAGAAAAAAATTTGCATTTAATATATTTGAAGATACTTGAGGAAATTCTTATCAATATGGTAATACAGGCTCCTTTTTTTGCATTTAGTAACAAAATGAAAAAAGAACCAATTGCAAAATGCTGAAAAAATTTTAAATGTTTCTTTACTTCCACCCGAGTGTTATAGATTTTTGTGTTCATTTAACCAAAAAACCAGGATATGGAATTTTTAGTGCAGGCATGGTGTCAAAACTGAATAAAACAAAGACAGCTGCTGTTATGAACTGAATCGTGTACTCTTAAATCCATATGTTGAATCTCTAACCCCAGTGCAATTGTATTTGGAGATTTAACTGAGTTTTTTGCTAGATACATGGAACAAGAAGTAGACAGCAAAAAAAAAAAAAAAATGGGAATATAATGTATACATGGTTTTTTTGAAGAAGTAGTCAGAGATAAATGAGCTCATAGGGATGTGGCCCCAATCCAATATGACTGGTGTTCTTATATGAAGAGGAAGAGATAACAAGGATGCATAAACACAGAGAAAAAGCCATGTGAGGACACAATATGAACAAAGTTATCTCCAAGGCAAGGAGAGAGATCTCAGAAGAAACCAGTTCTGCCAACACTTTGATTTTAGATTTTCACACTCCAGAACTTTAAGAAATATATTTCTGTTGTTTAACCTACCAGTTTGTGATATTTTGTTATGGCAACCCTAGAAAACTAACACAGCCACTAAGACAGAACTATTTAGAGTTCTTGAATATGATGTCTTTAGCATGGACACAGTGCAGTTTTTTTTTTCAATTGCCCTAGTATTACAGACGCTCTAAACCTCAAATAGTGGCAATTTTTGCAAGAAAAGACATGAAAGCTGTATGAAGTAATATTTAACTGAGCTTTCTGCTAGATACATGCAACAAGTAGGCAGCAAAAATATGGGAACTTAGTAACAAAATAAACTTGAGAGTCTTGGACGTTATTAAACTGAGTTTTCTTCTCTTTAAATCACAATTTGCATTCATTAAATAGATGTTTATTGAGAGCCTACTATGTGTTTAGATACTAGTTGCTAGAAATACAGAAATAAACACAACCTATCTAGTTACTAACCTTAAGGAACATGTAATATAGTGAGAGAGATAGAAAATAAATAAGCACACATATAACAATTAAAATTTATGTTAAGGCTATATAAATAAAATAGAGGTGTTCACATGAGTATAATGTAATGGACTGATCTAAATTAAGCATTCAAGGTATACTTTTTTGAGGAATGTCAGGTGAACGAGGAATATAATATGGCATTGTGAAGAATGGATAGAAAGTGTTTCATGTGTGATAAGGGTTCCAGAGTGGGCGAGGGATGAAACGTACACTATATGAGTATCTAAGCGTGGTGACAACCCAAAAGAGTATGAAAATTGACTACATACACACTCTCACATGGCAGGATACCTGTTTGGTAGATCTCTCAACTAGTACAGAGCGGCATGAGTTGCCACACCTGGAGGAATTGTGGCATATTAGATGTTGAATCCAGTAGTCTCTCTTGAGTAATCTCAGACACTGATATGATTTGGCTCTGTGTCCTCACCCAAATGTCACCTTGAATTGTAATCCCCCTAGTCCCCAAGTATCAAAGGCAGGACCAGGTGGAGGTACTTTAATCATGGGGGCAGTTTCCCCCATGCTGTTCTCGTGATAATGAGTGAGTCTCACAAGATCTGATGATTTTATAAGCATCTGGCATTTATCCTGCTTGCACTTCTCCTTCCTGTCTCATTGTGAAGAAGGTACCTTGGTTTCCCTTTGCCTTCCACCATGATTGTACATTTCCTGAGGCCTCCCCAACCATGATGAACTGTGAGTCAATTAAACCTCTTTCCTTTAGAAATTACTCGGTCTCGGGTATAACTTTATTAGCACTGTAAGAACAGACTAATACAGTAAATTGGTACCAAGGCAGTGGGATCCTGCTATAAAGATATCTGAAAATGTGGAAGCCACTTTGGAACTAGGTAATGGACAGAGGTTGGAACAGTTTGGAGGGCTCAGAAGAAGAGAGGAAGATGTGGGAAAGTCTGTAACTTCCTAGAGACTTGGTGAATGTTTTTCACCAAAATGCTGATAGTGATCTGGACAATGAAGCCCAGGCTGTGGTCATCTCAGATGGAGGTGAGAAACTTATTGGGAACTGGAATAAAGGTGACTCTTCCTATGCTTTAGAAAAAAGACTGGCAGCATTTTGCCCCTGCTCTAGAGATCTGTGGAACTTTGAACTTGAGAGATTATTTAGGGTAACTGGCAGAATAAATTTCTTTTTTTTCTGTTTGTTTTGTTTCGTTTTGGAAGAAAAAATATTTATTTACCTGAATCATCGATCTCTTTTAAAGCTCATTGGCATAACTATGGCTGGCTCCTACACGCAGTTTTTTTTTTTTTTATTATACTTTAAGTTCTAGGGTACCACAACGTGTAGGTTTGTTACGTATGTATACATGTGCCATGTTGGTGTGCTGCACCCATTAACTCGTCATTTAACATTAGGTATATCTCCTAATGCTATCCCTCCCCCATTCCCCCACTCCACAACAGTCCCTGGTGTGTGATGTTCCCCATCCCGAGTCCAGCTCTTCTCATTGTTGAATTCCCACCTATGAGTGAGAACGTGCAGTGTTTGATTTTCCGTCCTTGCGATAGTTTGCTCAGAATGATGGTTTCCAGCTTCATCCATGTCCCTATAAAGGACATGAACTCATCCTTTTTTATGGCTGCATAGTATTCCATGGTGTCTATGTGCCACATTTTCTTAATCCGGTCTATCATTGATGAACATTTGGGTTGGTTCCAAGTCTTTGCTATTGTGAATAGTGCCGCAATAAACATATGTGTGCATGTGTCTTTATAGCAGCATGATTTATAATTCTTTGGATATATACACAGTAATGGGATGGCTGGGTCAAATGTTATTTCTAGTTCTAGATCCCTGAGGAATTGCCACACTGTCTTCCACAATGGTTGAACTAGTTTACAGTCCCACCAGTAGTGTAAAAGTGTTCCTATTTCTCCACATCCTCTCCAGCATCTGTTGTTTCCTGACTTTTTAATGATCGCCGTTCTAAATGGTGTGAGACGGTATCTCATTGTGGTTTTGATTTGCATTTCTCTGATGGCCAGTGATGATGAGCATTTTTTCATGTGTCTGCTGGCTGCATAAATGTCTTCTTTTGAGAAGCGTCTGTTCATATCCTTTGCCCACTTTTTGACGGGGTTGTTTGATTTTTCTTGTAAATTTGTTTAAGTTCTTTGTAGATTCTGGATATTAGCCCTTTGTCAGATGGGTAGATTGTAACAATCTGGCAGAATAAATTTCTAAGTGGCAAAGCATTCAAGAGGAAGCAGAGCATAAAAGTTCAGAAAATTTGCAGACTGTCAATGCAATAGAAAAGAAAAACCCATTTTCTGAGGAGAAATTCAAGCCCTCTGCACAAATTTGCATAAGTAACAGAGATCCAAATGTTAATCACAATGGGGAAAATGTCCCCAGGGCACATCAGAGACCTTCACAGCATCCCCTCCCATCACAGGCCTGGAGGCCTAGGAGATAAAAATGGTTTCCTGGGCCAGGCTCAGAGCCTCCCTGCTCTGTACAACCTCAGGACATGGTACCTTATGTCCCAGCTGCTTCAGCTACAGCTGTAGCTAAAAGGGGCCAAGGTACAGCTTGGGCCATTGCTTCAGAGGGTGCAAACCCCAAGCCTTGGAAGCTTCCATGTGGTTTTGAGCCTCTGGGTGCACAGAAGTAAATAATTGAGGTTTGAGAACCTCTGCATAGATTTCAGAGGATGCATGCAAACACTTGGATGTCCAGGTAGAAGTTTGCTGCAGTGGGGGAACCCTCATGGAAAACCTCTGCTAGGGCAGTGTGGAAGCAAAATGTGGGGTGGAGCCTCTACACAGAGTCCCCACTGGGACACTGCCTAGTGGAGCTGTGAGAAGAGGGCCACTGTCCTCCAGACCCCAGAATGGTAGATCCACCAACAGCTTGCACCATGCGACTGGAAAAGCCACAGACACTCAATGCCAGCCCGTGAAAGCAGCTAAGAGGAAGGCTCTACACTGCAAAGCCATAGGGGTGGAGCTGCCCAGAGCTGTGGGAGCATACCCCTTGCATCAGTGTGACCTAGATGTGAGACATGGAGTCAAAGGAGATCATTTTAGAACTTTAAGGTTTAATGACTGCCCTATTGGATTTTACACTTGCATGGGGCTTGTAGCCCCTTTGTTCTGGCCAATTTCTCCCATTTAGAATGGGTGTATTTACCCAATGCCTATACTCCCATTGTATCTAGGAAGTAACTAACTTGTTCTTGATTTTATGGGCTCATAGGTGGAAGGGACTTGCCTTGTCTCAGGTGAGACTTTGAACTTAGACTTTTGGGTTAACGTTGAAATGAGTTAAGACTTTGAGGGACTGTTGGGAAGGCATGATTGGTTTTAAAATATGAGGACATGAGTTTTGGGAGGGGCCAGTTGCGGAATCATATGGTTCGGCTCAGTGTTCCCACCCAAATCTCACCTTGAACTGTAATCCCCATAGTCCCCATGTGTCAAGGGTGGGACCAGGTGGAGGTAAATGAATCATGGGGGCAGATTCCACCATGCTGTTCTCATGATAATGAGTAAGTCTCATGAGATATGATGGTTTTATAAATGTCCGGCACTTCCCTTGCTTGCGCTTTTCCTTCCTGTCGCCTTGTGAAGTTGGTACCTTGTTTCCCTTTCACCTTCCACCATGACTGTAAATTTCCTAAGGCCTCTCCAGCCATGCTGAACTGTGAGTAAATTAAGCCGCTTTCCTTTATAAGTTATCCAGGGTCTTTATTAGCAGCATGAGAATGGACTAATACAGAAACCATGCCACTGAAAAAATAGACATGTCAAAAATAACAGCCAAATTGAAGAGACACTCACTGAGTAAATATAGAAGAATTTGAACTTTAAGATAAGCCATGAAATCCATGAGTCCTCACTGATATAAAGTAATATCAAAATATTTATAACAAAATCATTAGAAACCTCATTAAATATCAGTGCTGCCACCTTGATCTTGTATGTTCTGGCCTTCCGAACTATGGAAGGTAATTGTTGTTTATGCCACCAAGCTATGGTAATTTGTTATAGCAGCCTAAACTAACATACAGCACAATTTTTTCGATACAAGTTCTCATTCTCTCTCCCAGGCTGGATTACAATGGCAGGAACATGGCTCCTTGCAGCCTCAGCCTCCTGGTTGTAAGCAATCTTCCCTCCTCAGCCTCTACTGCAGCAGGCACATGACACCATGAATAGCTATTTTTTTTTTTTTTTTTTTTTTTTTTGTACAGAAAGGGTCTAACCATGTGGGTCAGGCTGGCCTTGAAGTCCTGAGTTCAAATGACATAAACCAGTGAACCCAGCCAACACAACACACTTTGAAATAACCAAAAAGACAAGGGAAACGCAAAAGAAAGTTAGAAAAATGACACCAATCCAAAGCACAGCAATACAAAAAAAAATAGATAAAATTAGACTATATCAAAATAAAAAAAACCTGTGCACCAAAGGACACAATCAACAATGTTAAAAGGCAACTCAGAGTGGGAGAATTTTTTTTTTTTTTTGAGACAGAGTCTTACTTGTCGCCCAGGCTGGAGTACAGCGGCACGATCTTGGCTCACTGCAAGCTCCACCTCCCCGTTTCACGCCATTCTCCTGCCTCAGCCTCCTGAATAGCTGGGACTACAGGCGTCCGCCACAAGGCCCGGCTAATTTTTTTTGTATTTTTTTAGTAGAGACGGGATTTCACCATGTTAGCCAGGATGTGCTGGATCTCCTGACCTCGTGATCCACCCGCCTTGGCCTCACAAAGTGCTGGGATTACAGGCATGAGCCACTGCGCCTGGCCAGGAGAAAATATTTTTAAGACATACATCCGATAAGGAGTTACTAGTCTGAATATATAAGTAACTACAACTTAACGACAAAAGCAGATTTAAAAATAGGAAAAGGACTTGAATAGGTATTTCCCTAAAGAAGATATACAAATGTTCAATAAGCACATGAAAAGATGCTCACCATCACTACTTAGAAAAATGCAAATCAAGCCAGGAGGCAACATTTCACATTCATTTGGATGGCTATTACCAGAAAAGAAAAAAACAAAGAGAAAATACTAATGTTGCTAATGATGTGGAGAAATTAAAACTCTTGCTCACTGTTGATGGGAATATAAAATAGAGAACATCATGATTATTCCTCAAAAAAGCAAAAATATTATTACAATATATAATCCTGCAATTCCACTTATGAATATACACTCAAAAGAATTAAAAGAAACTCAGATATTCGAGCACTCACGTTCATAGCAACATTATGCACATTAAGCAAAAGCTGGAGGCAATCCAAATGTCCATTGATGAATAAGCAGATGAACAAACTGTGGTATACAGATACAATAAAACCTCATTCAGCCTTAAAAAGAAAGGAAATTTCTGATATATGCTACAACTTGAATCAACCTTTAGGACATTATGCTAAGTAAAATATGCCAGTCACGAAAACACAAATACTGTATAATTCCATTTATAGGAGGTACCTGGGTAGTCAGATTTATAGAGACAAAAAGTAAGAGGGCATTTACCAGTGGCAGGAATTGAGAACATGAGGTTATTTAATGATTACAAATATCACTTGCATGATAAAAAGAATTCTGGTGATAGATGGTGGTGATGGTTGTATAACAATGTGAATATACTTAATATTATTGAACTGTACATTTAAAAATATCCCTTTCATTGTCATAAAATAATTAAAAAATATTTCAAGCCATATGCTACAACATAACATATCAGCTGAAGGTACAAGATACAGCTAAAATGTCACTGAAAGGAAAATGTGTAGCTTTAAACATACCTATATCAGAATGTTTCATAGTGGACAGGATTATGCAAACCTACCCCAAAGTATGAGGAAGCTGAGAGACTGAAGAAAAGGGCTGACAAATCAAGTTGATTAGAGAGAAACATTTAATAGGGACTTATGAACAGAAACCATGGTCTGTGTCCCAGGTGGTGGTGAGACAAGTTGGTGGATTCTTACGCCATTTCTCCCCCAGACCAAGGCTTTATGTATCATCAGAGAGAAGTGGTTTAGAAGTGTATGTAGGACAACTGAAGTATGATAGCATCAAAGCTGTTGGACCTAAAGGCAGGATTTACTGAAAGTAAGTGCTCTTACACAAGGAACAATAGATAACACTGGAAATCTTAGAGGCCTTCTTGAAATAGGAGTTAATCAGGAACCAATGTAGTGGATTAGCATCCAATGGAGTTGTTTTAGCCTCCACAAAGAAGAAAAGAAAGTTATAAAATCAATGATCCAGGTATTCACTTTTAGAGGCTAAAAATGATATAATTAAAGCCAAAATAAGTATAATGAAGAAAACAATAAAGACACAATCAAAAACCAAAAACATAAAATTGATCAACAGTAGGAAAAAATTACTATGACATGCATTGGTTCTCTAAAAATATGAATGCTATTTTTTAAACCCTAGTAAAACTACTAAAAATAAAGAGAATAAAATTAAACTATCAATGTCAGGAATAAAAGAGGCTCTATAGATATTAAAAGTTTAATAAGACTATAATGAATAAGAATAGAACTCCCTCTAATAAATATGGAACAGAAGTTGGACCATTAGACAAATTCAATTCTCAAGTTGTTTTTGTAAAAACGTAATGGTTTTATTGGAACACAATTATACCCATTTTTATACATATCATCTATGTTTGCTTTCACACTACTCATATAGCCGATAGAGACTAAAATATTTATTATATGTTGTTTTAAAGAAAAAGTTAACCAATCCCTTTACCCACAAAAATCCACAGCTAATACATTAAGTGGTAATATACATTGAATGAATTTTTTCCTGAGATCAGATCGGTACCAGGGCAAAAATATCTTTTTTATTACTTCTCTTTAACATTGTACTAGAGGTATTGCCAGGGTAGTAAGGCAAGGAAAATAAAGAAGCTACTCATAATTACAAAGAAATAAACAAACATTATTTGAATACAACTTGATTATTTACATCAATAGATACTAGAATAAGTGAATTTAGTAATCTGTCAATATGAAATGTCAATGTACAAAAAGCAACATCACTTCTCTATAATATCAAGGCACAATAGAAAATAAAAGTTTGAAAACCTACTATTCAATAATATAAAAATATAAGATATTTATGATAAATTTAATAAAAGAGATGCCAACCCTCTACAATGAAAACTATGAAACATCACTCAGAGAAATTATAGAAGACTTAAACAAATGGAAATGTACAATGTGCTCATATATTGGAAAACTCAAAATGATAAGAGGTCAATTGGTTTCAAATTGATGTATAGATTTACACAAACTCTCCCTGCAAAGAAACCACAGCAGTGGTTATTTTAGAAATTGACAAGTTGATCCAAAAATCTATGTAAGAATAAAATGTATCTAAATTAACCAAATATTTTTGAAAAAGACCAAAGTTGGGGGACTTATACCATCTCAAGACTTACTATGAAATTACAATAAATGAGACAATGAGGTAATGGTGCAGAGAGAAATAAATTAATCAATAAAATAGAATAGGGATTTTTGAACAAGACCAAGCTGTATATAGATACAAGCGTTTTAATAAAGGTTCCAAGGTAATTCAAGGGAGAAAAGGTAGCTTTTTCAATAAATGGGTATCTCTCTAGAGAAAGAGAAAAACATGAACCTCAAATCCTACTTCACACCGTGTATAAAAACTAATTCAAAATAGACTTCAGACCAAAATCAGTGTATTTGTTAAAAGTGGAGAAGGTGTGTACAGCCAAAGAAGCTCTGGTGGATACTCTGCCATCATTGGCAGCCTGAGGTATTCTAGGAGTCATCTAGGCATCTTGACTTTCTGAACTTCTGCTCTAACCTTACATGCTAAGTCAACAGCAAGTAATACCAAAATTCCCAGTTGAAATAAAACAATATGGGATAATTTTGAATAAATATCACTGACTTACTGATCACAAATTTGCATGGCCTTTTTAGACTTATTCTTTAGGCTGTCAAAGGGACTAATCAGTTGCCAAATACTGCAATTATAATAGGCATAACTATAAAAAATGTTATTTCAAACGCATGGGTAGTGGTTTCATGACGTTGGTTTTCTCTCAGGGTGTCTAACAATACCATATTTTCAGTGATTTGGCCTACCATTTTCAAAACCTAAGAAAATGTAAAAGAAAGTGTCTTAGGAAAAACCCTGATTGAGGTAAAATGTGATAGTCCATAGATAATTTACAATACCAGCCTAGCAATAATGATCTCTTTTATAATAACATTTTCAACAATGCCCCAGTCTTCTGCTAAGGATTACCTTGGAGAGTACTGTATTCTCAAAGGTAAGAAAATAGAAATAAAGAAATAAAATTAATACATGTTAATCTTTATGTCTATTTTAAATGTCATAATTATTAAAAAGAATTGCTGTTGTCTCATATTCAAATAATAGTAACTTTAAAGACAGGATTATGATTGTTAATTTCACCTAGGAAAATAAAAATGCTAGTGAAATTTCCATTAAGTCCACTTTGCTCTCCATGTGGGAGTTTGAAGATTATTCTCTGACTCTCAGATAAGAATTTCTCTAATGATTTAATTTGTGTTTCAGACTGGCCTGCACACTGAGCCTGAATCTAGATATCACCTTTTTTTCTTTGAGGGAACAATCTTCAAGCAGTTATACAACCCAACTAGTTATTCAAGAAGTCTCCACAGCAAAATTGATAACTTCTTTCTCATATTTACAAAAGTGGGATAGGGCCATCTTTAAATACTATGTTCAGGACTGATTTTATGCTTTGGCATTTATGTGAATTATTTTTAGGAATGAACATTCTATTTGCCTTCAAAATCACTGAAGACATCAGGATTTTTATTTTGCATTTGATTCTAGTGTGAAGGAACTGAGAGAAAGTAAAGGACATTTTGTGAGCTAAAAAAATAGGACTTTAAGGACCATTTTCTCCCTAGGAAATTTATTATAGTTTATTATATACATACCAGTTATTCAGCACAAACAGAAATGAGAATTGAATAGAAAAATTTTTTCTGGTTTTATTTTTCATTTGGAGTTGAGATTTGCAGTCCATTTTTAGAGGTGTCTTAAGTAATTCAGACAAACAAGAGTTCTGTATAGAAATACTGTTGCATTTCCTATGCTCAGACAGATATATTAGCAGCAGTTCTTCTCTTCGGTCTTGGCCACAAAATTATGTTATTGTTGAACAACACAGCACCTCAAACTATGGTAGAGATGGTCTCTACTGGTAGCACTGCCAATACTTTAGGTTTATTTGTTTGTTTGTTTTTTTACATACTCATTTCCTTGAAAAGTAAGTAAAGTCAACCAGCTATTTGTCAGATAATCACCAACACACCACAGCTTGAACGAATTTGCCATGTTTCAACTAGTTTTGTGGACATTATATAAACAAAGGATAATTTCAGGTGAAGTAATGCTAGGGTAGAAGCAGTAAAATTAAGATTACAAAATATTGAAATATCTAGTGAGTTTATAGGTGGAAAGATAAGGAGACCTAACACTGATGATACTAAATAAAATCATAGTTCAAGGGAGCATTATGATTGCGAAAAGCCTCCAAGAACAGACATCCCTGACTTTCTACCAGTAATCCATTATTGAAAATCATTCTACCTGAAAACACTCACCGGGGGTTAATTTTTCATTATTTTAAGTGGGAAAAATATAATGCATTTAATATCAAACCCAAACTCATAATCAACTTTCTGAGCACATATATAAATAAGAGCTATCGTGTAGCATGTAAAATGGTTAAAACATTTCTGATTATCAAATAACTAAAATGTTTTTATTATTGCTATTATTTTAACAGAAAAATCATAATTTTATTGCATTTATAAAATACAATGTTATGCTTTGATATATGTATACCATGTGGATAATTAAATCAAGCCAATTAACCTGTCCATCACCTTGCTTACTTAACAATTTTTTTTTGTGTGGTGATACTTTGAAATTTACTCTGTTAACTATTTTGAAATACTAAAATGGTTTTGCAAAGTTGCAGTGTATGCAGTAACATGGCTTCTCTTTGCACAATCTACTTTTGTGGCTTGGATACCCTCTGTTGACACAGTATAGTTTTTAAGATATCTATATGTGGCTCTGACATTCCACAGATTTGTATCTGGAGTGTAACCTAAAAGTTCCATTTAAAATATTATATTGCATTTAATGTAAATATAAAAAATCCCTATAAAAACAGCACACACAAAAAAACATGAAATGTTTTATTGAGAAATAAATATATACCATGAAGTCTGGATATTAAAAGTCATGCAGTGTTATATGGAAGAACTTTAACAGGAAGACATTCCATAGGAGATGCCTATAGTATGAAAAGTGGTCCTATTCATCCCTATATACAAATAGAAAGAAGCAGCTAAAATGGTAAGAAAAGTATCAGATAATATCAATATAAAATAGGAATGGATGAAGTGAGAAGCAAAGAGCACTGAATAAAATTGCATGAAAGCACAATGAACAATGTAAGACAACTTTTCTGACTTGCGATAGCATATCCATACAGAAAAAAATATCCTCTTAAGTTCTTTTTCCAGTTTTACTGTTATACTTCCTCCATGCTTACTTTACACATACTAAACCTTGGATCAAACCAACTATCTACCCTCTCTTTCATAATTCATGATACTGAGTTTTACAATAAAAATATGACGCACTACAATGAATGGTTTAGTTTGCCTTATGTTCAACTTCAAGTGACCCAAATGACAACAACAATATAGAATAAACAAGTTTATCTTTGTTCCACGTAAATGAGTCTGAAGGTAAATAGTCACAAAGTCAATCTAAAACCATGAATTCAATCTTATTATTCAAGATAGTCACTTAAGCTCCAGCCAACATGTCCACATTTCAATTAGCAGGAAGAAGGCGGGGCAAATAATGGTGTGCCTTGTTCATTTACTGACATGTCTAGAAAGTTGCTTATGACATTTCTACTTACATCCTGCAGGCAAGAGCTTCATGCCATGTCCACACCTAATTGCAAATTCGTCTGAGATATGTAGTAATTATTCTGGGCAACTACATACCTAGCTATTACAAAAAAAGGAAGCAAGAATAGGCATTTAGGTACAGCTAGCATTTTTTCTACTATGTCACTACAAATTCATGGTTTACCAAAAGGGTCAACAAACCACTGCCCAGGGTCCAAATTAAGCCTTATACCTATTCTTGTATATAAAATTTTATTTCCACAGCCATGTCCATTATTTTTGTACTATATTACATATGACTTTATTTGGGCTACAATGGCAGAGTTGAATAGGTGTGGCAGAGACCATCTGGCTTGTAAAGCATAAAGTATCCACTATTTGGCCTTGTATTTTTTTATTTTCTTTTTTATTTTTCACTTTTTTCCCGAGATGGAGTTTCACTCTTGTCGCTGGAGTGCAATGGTGCGATCTCAGCTCACTGCAACCTCTGCCTCCTGGGTTCAAGTGATTCTCCTGCCTCAACCTCATAGCTAGGATTACAGGCACACGCCACCACACCCAGCTAATTTTGCATTTTTAGTAGAGACGAGGTTTCACCATGCTGGCCAGGCTGGTCTTGAACTCCTGACCTCAGGTGATCTGCCCACCTCAGCCTCCCAAAGTGCTGGGATCACAGGCGTGAGCCACCACTCCTGGCCCACTATTTGGTCTTTTACAGAAAAAAAAAAACTTTGCCAGGTGACAAGATCAAGAGTTTTATCAGTACTTGCTACTTTGAAGATGTCTCTCCACCTTATTAGTGAGCTCTTTGTCTTTTCTTTAAAAATGATATTTCCAGGCATTGACATTTGTTTTATACTTGCTTTCCACAATCTACCAAGACAATCTCATTCATCAAATAAAGAAGATTCTGTGGCTTGCTGCTGGTGGTTGTTTGGATGCATGACAAATAAGTAATAGAGCAGAAGTAGTTCAATCCTACTGCTTCTACACTCAGTAATTTATTTTAATGTTGTATTCTCTATCAAGATAGTGTTGCTTGTAGTGAAAACCAATTAAAGAAAGGAATGAGTAAAAAGATTATAAGATGGTACAAGCGCTGTTCTAAATGTATCTGCTAGCCAAACTAAATCATGTCTCAAGGGATTGAAAGAACATATGCAAGTGTTTGCTTAACAATTGACAGTGATATTTGAGTAATCAAGAAAAACAAGAGAGATTTTGGAAGGTTAGAGATAGACATGATATTCTAATTTTCCAGTTGAAGAATGTGATTTTTTACCAAATTTAGCTTAGTAATCTTGACACCAGTTATCAAGATTGTGAAATAATTTATTAAAAAGACAGCACATGATCACCAAAGCATTATAAATGAATACAGCATCTCATGTTGAGCATTAGAGTCAATAAATATTTTACTCATATGTTAAGCACTGTCCTTAACATTGTATACAATGCTTCATACCGTGAATAAAATTAAAATTAACAATACAAAATTGATATTTTATTCAGAAGTACCTCCAAAGATAATATTCTCCTTCTGAGCAGAGCAGGCATTTGAAATGTGTGCAATATTATGATATTGATTTAAATAAGTTGAAACCACAGTCACTTTGCACCAATCTAATAGTAGTATATTATTGCTAGTTTCAGATCCTTTTTCTTTTTTTTTTGAAACAGAGTCTCACTCCGTCACCCAGGCTGGAGTACAGTGGTGTGATCTCGGCTCACTGCAACCCCTGACTCCCGGGTTCAAGGGATTCTCATGTCTCAGCCTCCTGAGTAGCTGGGATTACAGGCATGCACCACCACACCCAGCTAAATTTTGTATTTTTAGTAGAGGCGAGGTTTCACCATGTTGGCCAGGATGGTCTCGAACCCCTTGCCTCAATTGATCAGCCCGCCTCAGCCTCTCAAATTGCTGGGGTTACAGGTGGGAGCCACGGCACCCGGCCTTCAGATCACTTTTGGTGAAAAACTAGCCATATTACAATGTTAGACAACACTTTTGTTTTCCTCAATGCAAACTGAGGAGACAAATATTATAAGACAATCATAACCCAAAGATTCAAAGTCGCATGAGTAAATATAATATGGTTAAAAGGCGAAGGTAAGAACTAATATGTAAAAATGAAAGCATTTTTTATTGATAATTTCAAATTGACTATGTCTCAGTCATTTATTATTATGTTGGAATACCAAAGTAAAAGTTACATCCTAGGTTAATAGGTTAATCATCGTTGAACTTTGATACAAGAATTGTCAAAATACTAATCCTAGCTTCTGTGTTTAGTTTCACAACATTGGCAGCTCTTAGTAGCATAGCATATATCACTGCTGCTTGTATTGGGGATAAATACAATTGATGCTATCAAACTTGCTGAAAATTGTGCATCTAGAAAGTTATTAGAAATATTACCAACACAATGATTTTTTTTTGTAAAAATAAAGCTTTTTTCTTCTTCAGGTTTCTTGAAATGTCAATTTTATTAATCTAGTTACAACTCCAGTAAGAAACACTACACTCCGTGAGTCCATGACTCATGAACAAACTGAGAACTAAATGAATAACAGAAGACATTAAGTCCCATTCATTTTGCGTATTACAGAATGGCAACTTGGCTTTACTGGTCTTTAGGTGGTAATAACTTCTTTTGTAATCAACAAAATAGTGATTCCCAGTGAAATGAATGCATTGAAGAGCCTGTGTCGAAGCTAAGTATGAAACTGATGTGTTTACTGCTACTGAAATACAAATATAGAAATAGTAAGAACTTTTCATTTATTACTTCCTAGATGGGCCAGGTGATGCCTAAGACTTTATCTGCATAATTTCATTGACTCCACATAAGTCTATGATGTAGCTTGTCCTGAAATGATAACTTTTCTCATTTTACAGATGAGGAATTAGACACTCACAGCTCTCACTGGTATTAATAGAACTTAGACTGAAACTTGTATTTACAGCATCTTAAGACTTATACTCTTAAATGGTATGCTATGAAAATCATGCAATGATAGATAAAGGAAAAATATGATGAGTTCAAGAACATAAGATTGTAAATAGAAACATATATTAATACATAATTTTGCTGCAAGACAAGTAGAATGTACTTTTTAAAATTCCTGTGTCCAAATCCTTTTATTAGTGACATGGCCTACTCTTATAGTCATATCTCCTGTATTTTCTCATTCATAGCATTTGCTTTAAATATTTCAAAGATTGTAGTTCCTCCAGAACACAAGGCTTATTCATGTCTCTATGTCTTTCTACATGGTGTCCATTTTGCTTGGGACACACTTTCCAAGGTTTCTCCATATGACAAATTCCTATTCATCTTTCAGGACACAGTCTACATGCTCCAATGCCTGGCAACCAGGAGAATTTAAAAATTAATAAATATATGTGACCTTTTCCATATCCACTCTTAAAGATATTTGATACCTCTAAATGTCTTTGCTTATGTAATACTTTCTCACCTTGAACACTGTAGGAGATCAGTCAGGGTGGTGGGAGAAATTATAGGAAAAATGCAAACCTTCTTGGAAGGCTGGGAGGTTTTGCAAAAGCTTCGAAAGATAATTTGGCTAAAAGCAGCCAAATTATCTTATCTGGAGCTTCAGAGAAAAAGGTGGATAACAAAGAAGTGTAAAGGAATTGACCTAGATAAGTTACTTAGGCCTTGGAACCTTGCCCTGGCCTTTAATCATCCACTCACAGGACTGCTCTCTCTTGGGGAGGCAGGGGAAGTGGAACCATGTTAATAACCCACAAGTGTGTTGACTTAAAGCCTTTGTCATTAAATCTGTACTAAATAAATGCCTGCAGCAGCTTGTTGGGGCTGCAGTTGCTGGGACTCTTTACAGCACCCTCCTCGGTGTCTGTGGGCAGCCTGGTCCCCTAGCCACTCGGCCAGGCAAAAAACCTGTGTCAGCGTACAGTTTTTCATCCATCACTTGGCCAGGGCCTGCTGCTGCTCAGACCTGGCAGTATGCTATACCCTATCTTCACTTACTTAATCATGAGCCTCACTTGCTACAATTTTTTTGTTCTTCTACATCGTTAATTTTTCCTCTCCAATCAAGTATTCCCACAAGCATACAATATTTCAGATATTTATACTGTAATAACTTAAAAATAAACTCTCTTTTGACCTCACTTTCATACCAGCTACTGAACCACTTCTCTGCTCCCTTTTGTGAAAAACTCTTTTGAAAAAGAATTGTGTATACTTGGTATTTCTTTGGTATCCCTTGCTAAGATTTCCTTAGCAAGATTTCCTTTTGCTCAGTTTATTCCTGGCCCATCAGTCCCTTTCTTGTTCCTCTAATTTTCCCAGAATGCTCTCAACACAGAACCTTTTCACATTAGTCCATATTGCATTGCTACACATAAATACCTGAGTCTGGGTAATTTGTTTTAAAAAGAGATTTATTTGGCTCACCATTCTGCAAGCTGTAAAAGAAGCATTGCACCGGCATCTGCTGCTGGTAAGGACCTCAGGAAGCTCCCAATCATAGAGGAAGGTGAAGGGGGAGCAAGTATGTCATATGGTGAGAGAGAGAGGAGGGAAGTCCCAGGCTATTTTTTAACAACTAGATCTCATGGGAACTAAAAGTCAGAACTCATTCAGTGCTGCAAGAATGACAAGACATTCACGAGGGATCAACCCCATAAATGAAACACATTCTACCAGGCCCTACCTCCAACACAGAGGGTCCACATTTAATAGAAGATTTGAAGACAGCAAATGTCCAAACTACATCAACTTGCACTTGTTGTTTTGGCTAAATGGAGTGATTTTTCCTAGGTTTATGCATCCTCACTTCCTTTTGGACACTGCTCAAATTTCACCTTACCAGTGAGGCACGCTCTGGGTGTGATTTTAAAATAAACCAATCCCAAGCATTCCCTAACCTCCCCCAATCCCAAGCGTTCCCTAACCTCCCCCAATCCCAAGCGTTCCCTAACCTCCCCCAATCCCAAGCGTTCCCTAACCTCCCCCAATCCCAAGCGTTCCCTAACCTCCCCCAATCCCAAGCGTTCCCTAACCTCCCCCAATCCCAAGCGTTCCCTAACCTCCCCCAATCCCAAGCATTCCCTAATCTCCTTACCCTGCTTCTTTTTTCTCTCTAGTAGTTACGTCACCTGGCTTGCGATATAAATTTACCTAGTTACTTGGTTGTGTCTCACCACTAGAATGTAAGTTATTTGAAGACAGCGATTTGTTTTGTCTCCATCTCCGGTTTGTATAGTTACCCATGGCACACAGCAGCCTACAAATACTGTTGAAACAACTAATTTATTGAATAATCCTTTGTGTTTATCAAACACAAATTAAAAGTCTATATTTTATTCCTTCAGTAAATTAAGTTATTACTGTGGTTTTCCCTCATGGTCTCCTCATAAAAATAAAAAGAGACACATAAAGAAATCATCATTCTCAGTAAACTGTCGCAAGGACAAAAAACCAAACACCGCATGTTCTCACTCATAGGTGGGAATTGAACAATGAGAACACATGGACACAGGAAGGGGACCATCACACTCTGGGGACTGTTGTGGGGTGGGGGAAGGGGGGAGGGATAGCATTAGGAGATATACCTAATGCTAAATGACGAGTTAATGGGTGCAGCACACCAGCATGGCACATGTGTACATATGTAACTAACCTGCACATTGTGCACATGTACCCTAAAACTGAAAGTATAATAATAATAAAATAAAATTTAAAAAAAAGTATACACTTTTGACATCGATTAATTTCATTAGTAATTTCCTGATTCCTCGGTATAGAATTTGTAACTCTTTGTAATTAGTTCGCTCAACACATCCATGAGAATAATAAATATATCCCTATTATAAACTGAAAAAAAAAATAGAAAACGTGACCAATAAATAGGAGAGGATGTGAAAGCTGTCAATAAACACTATACCCCAAGAAAGCTTACATTAAGGACTTTAAGATGAAATCTTTAAACTAGACATTTTATAGACGTTTTAAAAAATAAAGGAAAACATGTCCAGAAAACTAACTAAAAGTATCAGCATTATGTCTCACCAAAAGAACCTCGATAAGAGTAGCAGCTGATTTCTCATCAGATAGTACAGAAGCTAAGAATGTAGTGAGATGATATAAAGTTCTGAAAAAAAACTGTCAATTAAGAATATATCTGGCACAACTGTTTCTCAAAAAGGAGAGAGAAATTAAAACTTTCAAAGATCAACAAAAACTGAGATAGTTCATCACTAGCAGACTTGCTTTTCCATAAGTGCCAAAGGGAGTCATTTTGGCTGAAATTAATGGCCAGTATATAGTAATTGGAATCCACATAAAGAAATAAGGAACACTAATAAAGGTAAGTAATAAGTAAATATAAAGGGCAGTATAAACATATTTTTATTTGTGAACCTTTTTCTCTTATATAATTGAAGATACAACTGCATAAGGCACTAATTATAAAACTGGGTTGATGGGATTACAATGTTTAAAAATGTAATTTATATGACACTAACAGGACAAGGAGAAGGAAGGGTACGGAGCTAGGTTTTTGTATGAATCTGGCATTAATCCGTATAAGAACGTAATTGGTTGTTACAAGTTGTGCAATTAATGTGTTATCTATAATCCCCAAGGGAACCACTAACTACATAACTCAATAAATATAGTAAAACAAAGGGTAAGGTAATCAAAATGGCACACTAGTAAATGTCTATGTAACACGAATGTACTACAGGAAAATAGAGGAATAAATATGACATAAGATAAAGAAAATAATTAGCAAAACGACAACATAAAATCTATCAGTATTTACATTAGATATAAATGGATTAAACACTACATTTAGAAGGAAAGTATTATCAGAATGGATAAAAATACATGATCCAAATATATGATATCCATAAGAGACACACATTAGATTCAAAGACACAAAAAGTTTGAAAGTAAAAGAATGGAAAAAGATATATAATGCAAACAACACAAAAAAGAGAGATAGAAAGGTATGTTAGATTGTTCTTGTGTTGCTATAAAGAAATATGCACTACTGGATAATTTATAAAGAAAATAGGTTTAATTGGCTCACGGTTCTGCAGGTCATATAGGAAGCATGGTACCAACATCCTCTTAGTTTCTGGGGAGGCCTCAGGAAGCTTTTACTGACGGTGAAAGGCAAAGCGGGGGCAGATGGATGTCTCACATGCAGAGGACTGGAACAAGAGAGTGGGGGGAAGGTGTTACACATTTTTAAACAAGCAGATATCAGGAGAACTCACTATTATGAAGACAGCACCAAGGGGATCGTGCTAAGCTATTCATGAGAAATCTGCCCCCATTATCCAATCACCTCCCACCAGGCCCTACCTCCAACATTGAGAATTACAATTTGATATGAGATTTAAAGGCGACACATACTCAAACTATATCAAGTAGCTATACTACTAGTATAAACACAATGGACAAGAAGCACGTGAAAGATGCTGAATGCCATTAGTTATTAAAGAAATAAAAATTCGGCCGGGTGCGGTGGCTCACACCTGAAATCCCAGAACTTTGGGAGGATGAGGCAGGTGGATCACCTGAGGTCAGGTGTTCGAGACCAGCCTGGCCAACATGACAAAACCTCGTCTCTACTAAAAATACAGAAATCATCATTCTCAGTAAACTATCGCAAGAACAAAAAACCAAACACCGCATATTCTCACTCATAGGTGGGAATTGAACAATGAGAACACATGGACACAGGAAGGGGAACATCACACTCTGGGGACTGTTGTGGGGTGGGGGGAGGCGGGAGGGATAGCATTGGGAGATATACCTAATGCTAGATGACGAGTTAGTGGGTGCAGCGCACTAGCATGGCACATGTATACATATGTAACTAACCTGCACATTGTGCACATGTACCCTAAAACTTAAAGTATAATAAAAAAAAAATTAGCCAGGCATGGTGGTAGGAGCCTGTAATCCCAGCTACTCGGGGAAGCTGAGGTGTGGAGAATCGCTCGAACCTGGGAGGCAGAGGGTGCAGTGAGCTGAGACTGTGCCACTGCACTCCAGCCTGGGCGACAGAGCAAGACTGCATCTCAGAAAGAGAAGAGAAGAGAAGAGAAGAGAAGAGAAGAGAAGAGAAGAGAAGAGAAGAGAAGAGAAGAGAAGAGAAGAGAAGAGAAGCAGAGCAAAGAAAAGAAATGAAATGAAACAAAAGAAAAGAAAATTCAAACCACGAGAAATCACTTCACACCTACTAGGTTGACTATAAACAAAATGGTGTACAATAATGTCTCAGTAAAAATGTGGGGAAATTGGAACTCTCATATATTTCTGTTGGGAATGTAAAATTACGCAGCCGCTTTGTAACACAGTGTTGTAATTTATCAAAAACCTAAACACTGAGTTACTGTATGACCTTGTAATTCTATTCTTAAGTATAAACCTAAGGGAAATGAAAATATGAAGCTATGTAAAAACTTGTACATGAATGTTTATAGAAACATTGTTCACAATAGTCCAAAAGTGGAAACAACTCATATGTCCATCAAATGATGAATGGATAAACAAAATATTATATGTAAAAGCAATAAATATTATTTGGTCAGAAAAAATGAAGTATCAATAAATGCTATAACATGGATGAACCTTGAAAACATTATGCTCCATAAAGGAAGGAGACAAAAAGGCACTGTATATTATTCTATTTATATACAGTGTTTAGATTGGCAAATCCATAGTGAGAGAAAGTAGATTAATTTTTGCTGGGGGCTGGAAGAGTGGGGGTATTGGGAGTTGACTGCTAATGGTGTGAGTTTCTTGTTTTAACAATGAAAAAAATGATTAGGATACATAAAAGTTGATGGTTAGGTGATGTGTTGATGGTCATGCACTTTCTACTTGTATGTAAGTTTGTAAATTACTATAGTTAACAGTTGTTAAAAATGCTAGAGAATACATATAACTAATTTTTTTTTTCTTTGAGACAGTCTTGCACAGTCGTCCAGGCTGGAGTGCAGTGGCATGATCTCAGCTCACCTCCCGGGTACAATCGATTCCTGAATCAGCCTCCCAAGTAGCTTGGACTACAGGTGTGCTCCACCCAGCCTGGCTAATTTTATTTTTTTATTTTTTTGTGGAGATGATGTTTTGCCATGTTGGCCAGGCTGGTCTCAAACTCCTGACCTCAAGTGATTCACCTGCCTCAGCCTCCCAAAGTGCTGAGATTACAGGTGAGAGCCGCTGCACCCAACCTGTAACTAAATTTTTTTTTAAATTGATAAATAACAAATCCAGAATAGAGTAGAAGAATCATTCAATGTAATGCTGAAACTGCTAGGCTGTGCATAGGCCTTTTAGCCTTTTAGCTAAGTACCCTTTTAGGTACTTAGCACACATATTGCACATAATAATAAATGTGTCCGCAATAAATTAGTATTTTATTTAGGTTGCCATGATGTAAAAACCTAAATACCATCACTCATAACAAGTATTTGGTGAAAAAATATGGAAAAGAATATAAAAATTGTAATAATATAGTAAGGAAAATTTAATCATCTCTTATATGCAATAGCACAAATAGAAAGCGAAGCTGGCATCTATCAAACTCACTGATTTAATCCTAACAATAACTAAAAATGAAGAAATGAAATGCTCTTTAATTTGTTAAACTTCTACCTAAAGGTTAAGCATTTGTCATGATTTATATCTAAACAAAAATAATACTCCATTGAGAAATTGACCTCTAAAACATATATAAAGCTACAGTTTCTGTGATTGTTTTGAAGAAAGCTCTTGGAATTTGGATTCAAATCTACATTGCCCTCTGCCCAAAATGCAGGCAGTAAAGGACCTTATTTAAAATTGTGGTATTTTCTCAGCACTCTGGGAGGCCAAGGCAGGCGGATCAACTGAAGTCAAGAGTTCAAGACCAGGCTGGCCAACATGGTGAAACCCCGTCTCTACTAAAAATACAAAAATTACCCATGCGGCGTGACGCGTGCCTGTAGTCAAGCTACTTCGGAGGCTGAGGCAGGAAAATCACTTGAACCTGGGAGGCAGAGGATGCAGTGAGCTGAGATTGTGCCACTGCACTCTAGCCTGGGCAACAAAGTGAGATGCTGTCATAAATAAATAAATAAATAAATAAATAAATAAGTGGTATTTTCTATGAAGTATTTTTGCATTTCATTTTAAGCCATGGTGTAGTCATTCTTTACAGATAAATATTAAACAATGGTTGGAAACACATATATTTCATTTTGCTAGCATTTATACTTTCCACACTTTTGAAGTGCTTTAAAAATTCCTGAGAGGGCTGGGTGCAGTGGCTCACGCCTGTAGTCCCAGCACTTTGGGAAGCCGAGACGGGAGGATCACCTGAGGTCAGGAGTTCGAGGCCAGCCTGGCCAATGTGGTGAAACCCTGTCTCTACTAAGAAAAATACAAAAATTAGCCAGGCGTGGTGGCGGGTGCCTGTAATTCCAGCTACTTGAGAGGCTGAGGCAGAAGAATTGCTTGAGGCAGAGGTTGCAGTGAGCTGAGATTGGACCATTGCACTCCAGCCTGGGAGACAAGACTGAAACTCTGCCTCACAAAAAAAAAAAAAAAAAAAAAAAAAAAAAAAAAAAAAAAAAAAATCCCGAGAACAATGGGCATTATTTCCAACTTAATTTTAGTGAGATTAGATACGCTAATAAAAACATCATGTAGTTGACATTTTGTGATACCGCAAATATATTTATAATTTTGCACACTGCAATTTTTAAAATACTGAGCATGTTGCAGCGAAGCAACAAAGGTAATTCACAAACTTGGAAATAAAAGAGAAAGTTGGCCAAGTGACTTAGACTTCACACATATAGAAGCGAAATGCTGACTTGAGCTCTGTCAAAACTTAGTGTAAGCCTAAAAGCATGTACAATAACAAATTGAACTGTCCTTCACTCATTCATTTACTGAAGCATTTAATGAAATGAACACTACCTACACACAAGACACTTTGATATGTGAGCAAATAATATGCTATAAGTAATATACTTTAAAATGTAAAGTTAATATAATCAGAAATTCCAGTATAACTTCTGCCAGAGTTATTCAAATACTAATATCCAAAGTAAAAAAGGCAACATCATTCCATTCCACGAGGGAAAAGATGAAAGAAAGCAATGAAGAGAGAGACACCCAGGTATTACGGTAAGGACATGGTAAGTGAAATGTCCAAACCTCGGTTCAAATTCTGGCTAACTCAGTTGCCTTCACCTAAGGCAAGACATCATATCTGTCCTGCCTATCACCATAAGGTTGTTATGAAGAACAAAGTGAAAAAAATGTGGGATGAAAGCATTCTATAAATGACAATAGATAAATCTCTTTATTAACAAGTGATACTTTTGGTTGTTAGGCATTAAATTCCAAATAAACATGGGATATGTTATTATTTTGATATCTTAATAATATTTTTAAAAGAGGCTGGAGCATGGGTCAATGGGTACAAAGTTTTAGTTGCTATGAATAAATTCTGGGCTCTATCGTACAGTATGTTTAGTTTATAATTATGTATTGTATACTTGAAAATTGCTAAGAGAGGCTGGGCGTGGTGGCTCATGCTTGTGATCCCAGTACTTTGGGAGGCCGAGGCAGGTGGATCACGAGGTCAGGAGTTCAAGACCAGCCTGGCCAAGATGGTGAAACCCCATCTCTACTAAAAATACAAAAATTAACCAGGAGCGGTGGCCAGCACCTGTAATCCCAGCTACTTGGGAGGCTGAGGCAGGAGAACTGCTTGAACCTGGGAGGCAGAGGTTGCAGTGACCCAAGACTGCACCACTGCACTCTAGCCTGGGCAACAGAGCAAGACTTCATCTCCAAAAAAAAAAAAAAAAATTGCTAAGAGAGTAGATCTTAAATATCCACAAAACAAAAAATAATAAATATCAAAGGTGATGGAAATGTTAATTCATTTGATTTGTTTCACAATGTATAAATATAAGAAATCATCACATTGTAACCTGTAAATATATTTGTCAACCAAAGAATATTAAATGAGATAAAATGGGTTATTTCTACATCCAGTGTCAAATATCCTACCGCTATGGAACCAAAGTTATGGCTTATGATTTTGAGGTTTAGACTCTCTATATTCTCATCTGTAAATGGAGATAATATCTATTTTCCTAGTCTGTGCTACTGTAACAAAATACTACAGATTAAGTAATTTATAAAGAACAGAAATTCATTTTTCACACTGCTGGAGACAGTCTAAGATCAAGCTGCTTGCAGGTTTGGTTGTCTGGTGAGGGCTGCTGTCTGCTTCCAAGAGAATACATTGATGCAGCATCCTCTGAAGGGAAGAAATGCTGTGTCCTCACATGGTAGAAGTCAGTGAGCAAGAAATCCCAATGCTGCATGAATTCTCTTCTATAAAGATCTTAATTGTATTCATGAGGGAGGAGATTCCATGGCTTAATTACCTCTTAAAGACCCCACCTCTTAATACTGTCACATTGGCAACACCTGAGTTTTGGAGTAGACATTCAAACCATAGCACCTATCTTGCCTAATTTGTAGGCTTAGTGACAAATAAATAGTATGTGCAAATAATATGAAAAATGTTGCATGAAATAGAAATCTGATTTGTTTGATTATAATTGTATTGGTCCGTTTTTATGCTGCTGATAAAGACATATCCAAGACTGGGCAATTTACAAAAGAAAGAGGTTTAATCGACTTAGAGTTCCGTGTGGCTCAGGAGACCTCACAGTCATGAGAAGGTGAAAGGCACGTCTCACATGACAGCAGACAAGAGAAGAAAAGAGCTTGTGCAGGAAAACTCCCCCTTATAATAACCATCAGATCTCATGAGACTTACTATCACGAGAAAAGCACCAGAAAGACCTGCCTCCATGGTTCAATTACCTCCCACTGGGTCCCTCCCACAACATGTGGGAATTCAAGATGGGATTTAGGTGGAGACACAGCTGAACCATATCAATAATTAACAATAATGAAAGGGTAACATAATTAGACAATGATTTATGTCACTGGGTTTCAACTGAGAATTTCAGAGGCAACCAATGAAACAGTTAAGTGTAAACTCAAGCCATTGTGCTTGGCCTCAGATCTTATCTCCATCACTCAATTAATTAATTGCTCCATGATTCAGTTTCCTCATCTGTAGTAACAGGGATAAAAATAGCCTTTATCACATAGCATTATTATAAAGAATAAATGTTAGTGTTTTCAAACTTCTTAGAATAGTGCTTGAAGTACTATGGAATTATTTGCTATTATAATTTTATTATTTTTCAAAACCACATATTTGATCTTCATTTATAATTATTGCTAGAGAGCTAGCTAGCTAGCTGGGTAGATTATTTAGTATCACCAAAGGGAAAATATTCTACCTGCCTAGAGTAACAATTACCTTGTAGTTACTGCATTCATTGATAATTGCAGAGAGCCACTGGTACCAGTTTGCTGTAAAAGCCATAATTTCCATTACTCGAAGTTCAGCCTCGGAGAAGTTGGCAGCATCACTAAAGTCTGGTGCTTAGATTGAGTAAAATAAAACTCACCTGTGGAATATACTACTGATTACACTTATATATACTTGTATAAGATGTCCTCTGGGTGTCAATAATTGCAGTTTAATGAATGACATATGCTCCTATCCTAAACTACTCTGTCATGTTTGAGAAAGTGAATTAGTAACCCCTTTGTAGATTTTGAGTGTGTGCCCTCTTTAATAGACAGTATTTATAAAACCTGAATGTATAATTGTACTGTACCTATAAGCCCAGCATGTGCTTCATTACTGTAATATCAGAAATAAAATCTAGGGCTTGTTTTATACTGTGATTTAAAATAAAATGCTGTGGATGTCTCTAAAATATAGCTAGTAGAACAGCTAAATTCATATTTCCTTAATTTCCAAAGTTGTTTTGAAAATTCACATACACTATAATAGTTAATTTTAAGTATCATGATACCATTCTCTAAGGAGAACTCTAAAATCAGAAACATCTCAATCCTTTCCAAGAGAGAAATAAAGAGTGAATGTTGTTCTCAAGGCAAAGAGGAGAACATGCGGTCAGCCTGGAGTAGATAAACAGTTGCCCCTGTGATGAAAATGCAATCCATTTCCTTTCCTTGTTGAGCTAATCTACTCCTCTATTTAAGAGTTTTCCAAATTGTATGAAATTAAATTTCCAAACCAAATTTTACAAGCTACATATTTCAGTTTACATGAAATAGTAGAATTTTCACACTACCTACAACTTTGCTTTTAGATGAACTGTAATCCACTCCCCTCCCACCCACCCTCCCTCCTTCCTTTCTTCCTTTCTTCCTTTCTTCCTTCCTTCCTTCCTTTTTTTTGAGATGTCTCACTATTTTCCCCAGGCTGGTCTACAACTCCTGGGCTCAAGCAATCCTCTCATCTCAGCCTCCCAAAGTGGTGGGATTACAGATACAAGCCACTGGGCCCAATCCTGTGACTTTTTTTTTTATTATTATACTTTAAGTTCTAGGGTACATGTGTACAAGGTGCAGGTTTGATACACAGGTATACATGTGCCGTGTTGGTTTGCTGCATCCATTAACTCATCATTTACATTAGGTATATCTCCTAATGCTATCCTGCCCCCAGCCCTCCAGCCCCTGACAGGCCCCAGTGTGTGATGTTCCCTGCCCTGTGTCCAAGTGATTTCATTGTTCAATTCCCACCTATGAAAACATGCAGTGTTTGGTTTTCTGTCCTTGTGATAGTTTGCTCAGAATGATGGTTTCCAGCTTCATCCATGTCCCTGCAAAGGACATGAACTCATCATTTTTTTATGGCTGCATAGTATTCCATGGTGAATATGTGCCACATTTTCTTAATCCAGCCTATCATAATGAACATTTGGGTTGGTTCCAAGTCTTTGCTATTGTGAATAGTGCCACCATAAACATACGTGTGCATGTGTCTTTATAGCAGCATGATTTATAATCCTTTGGGTATATACCCAGTAATAGGATTGCTGGGTCAAATGGTAATTCTAGTTCTAGATCCCTGAGGAATCGCCACACTGTCTTCCACAATGCTTGAACTAATTTACGCTCCCACCAACAGTGTAAAAGCGTTCCTAATTCTCCACATCCTCTCCAGCATCTGTTGTTTCCTGACTTTTTAATGATGGTCATTCTAACTGGCGTGAGATGGTATCTCATTGTGGTTTTGATTTGCATTTCTCTGATGACCAGTGATGATGAGCATTTTTTCATGTGTCTGTTGGCTGCATAAATGTCTTCTTTTGAAAAGTGTCTGTTCATATCCTTTGCCCACTTTTTGATGGGGTTGTTTGTTTTTTTCTGGTAAATTTGTTTCAGTTCTTTGTAGATTCTGGATATTAGCCCTTTGTCAGATGGGTAGATTGCAAAAATTTTCTCCCATTCTGTAGGTTGCCTGTTCACTCTGATGGTAGTTTCTTTTGCTGTGCAGAAGCTCTTTAGTTTAATTAGAACCCATTTGTCTATTTTGGCTTTTGTTGCCATTGCTTTTGGTGTTTTAGACATGAAGTCCTTGCCCATGCCTATGTCTTGAATGGTATTGCCTAGGTTTTCTTCTAGAGTTTTTATGGTTTTAGGTCTAACATTTAAGTCTTTATTCCATCTTGAATTAATTTTTGTATAAGGGGTAAGGAAGGGATCCAGTTTCAGCTTTCTACATATGGCTAGCCAGTTTTCCCAGCACCATTTATTAAATAGGGAATCCTTTCTCCATTTCTTGTTTTTGTCAGATTTGTCAAAGATCAGATAGTTGTAGATATGCGGCATTATTTCTGAGGCCTCTGTTCTGTTCCATTGAGCTATATATCTGTTTTGGTACCAGTACCATGCTGTTTTGGTTACTGTAGCCTTGTAGTATAGTTTGAAGTCTGGTAGCATGATGCCTCCAGCTTTGTTCTTTTTGCTTAAGATTGTCTTGGCAATGCAGGCTCTTTTTTGGTTCCATATGAACTTTAAAGTAGTTTTTTCCAATTCTGTGAAGAAAGTCATTGGTAGCTTGATGGGGATGGCATTGAATCTGTAAATTACCTTGGGCAGTATGGCCATTTTCACGATATTGATTCTTCCTACCCATGAGCATGGAATATTCTTCCATTTGTTTGTGTCCTCTTTTATTTCCTTGAGCAGTGGTTTGTAGTTTTCCTTGAAGAGGTCCTTCACATCCCTTGTAAGTTGTATTCTTAGGTATTTTATTCTCTTTGAAGCAATTGTGAATGGGAGTTTACTCATGATTTGGCTCTCTGTTTGTCTGTTAATGGTGTATAGGAATGCTTGTGATTTTTGCACATTGCTTTTTTATCCTGAGACTTTGCTGAAGTTGCTTATCAGCTTAAGGAGTTTTGGGGCTGAGACGATGGTGTTTTATAAATATACAATGATGTCATCTGCAAACAGGGACAATTTGACTTCCTCCTTTTCTAATTGAATACCCTTTATTTATTTCTCTTGCCTGATTGCCCTGGCCAGAACTTCCAACACTATGTTGAATAGGAGTGGTGAGAGAGGGCATACTTGTCTTGTGCCGGTTTTCAAAGGGAATGCTTCCAGTTTTTGCCCATTCAGTATGATATTGGCTGTGAGTCTGTCATAAAGAGCTCTTATTATTTCAAAAAACGTCCTATCAATACCTAGTTTATTGAGAGTTTTTAGCATGAAGGGCTGTTGAATTTTGTCAAAGGCCTTTTCTGCATCTATTGAGATAATCATGTGGTTTTTGTCATCAGTTCTATTCATGTGATGAATTACATTTATTGACTTGCATATGTTGAACCAGCCTTGCATCCCAGGGATGAAGCTGACTTCATCTTGCTGGATAAGCTTTTTGATGTGCTGCTGGATTCGGTTTGCCAGTATTTTATTGAGGATTTTTGCATCAATGTTCACCAGGGATGTTGGTCTAAAATTCTCTTTTATTGTTGTGTCTCTGCCAGGCTTTGGTATCAGGATGACGCTGGCCTCATAAAATGAGTTAGGGAGGATTCCCTCTTTTTCTATTGATTAGAGTAGTTTTAGAAGGAATGGTACCAGCTCCTCTTAGTACCTCTGGTAAAATTCGGCTGAGAATCTGTCTGATCCTGGACTTTTTTTGGTTAGTAGGCTATTAGTTATTGCCTCAATTTCAGAACCTGTTATTGGTCTATTCAGAGATTCAACTTCTTCCTGGTTTAGTCTTGGGAAGGTGTATGTGTCCAGGAATTTACCCATTTCTTCTAGATTTTCTATTTTATTTGCATAGAGGTGTTTATAGTATTCTCTGATGGTAGTTTGTATTTCTTTGGGATTGGTGGTGATATCCCCTTTATCATTTTTTATTGTGTCTATTTGATTCTTCTCTTTTTTCTTTATTAGGTTATTATTGTTATGGGTGAATTTTATTCTGTCATTATGATGTTCGCTGGTTATTTTGCCCATTAGTTGATGCAGTTTCTTCATAGCATCAATGAACTTTATAATTTGGCCTGTTTTTCCAGTGGCTGGTACCGGTTGTTCCTTTCCATGTTTAGTGCTTCCTACAGGAGCTCTTGTAAGGCAGGCCTGCTGGTGACAAAATCTCTCAGCATTTGCTCTTCTGTAAAGGATTTTATTTCTCCTTCACTTATGAAGCTTAGTTTGGCTGGATATGAAATTCTGGGTTGAAAATTATTTTCTTTAAGAACGTTGAATATTGGCCCCCACTCTCTTCTGGCTTGTAGGGTTTCTGCTGAGAGATCTGCTGTTAGTCTGATGGGCTTCCTTTTGTGGGTAACTCGACATTTCTCTCCGGCTGCCCCTAACATTTTTTCCTTCATTTCAACCTTGGTGAATCTGACAATTATGTGTCTTGGGGTTGCTCTTCTCGAGGAGTATCTTTATGGTGTTCTCTGTATTTCCTGAATTTGAATGTTGGCCTGCCTTGCTATGTTGGGGAAGTTCTCCTGTATAATATCCTGAAGAGTGTTTTCCAACTTGGTTCTGTTCTCCCCATCACTTTCAGGTACACCAATCAGATGTAGATTTGGTCTTTTCACATAGTCCCATATTCCTTGGAGGCTTTGTTCATTTCTTTTTACTCTTTTTTCTCTAACCTTGTCTTCTCGCTTTATTTCATTAATTTGATCTTCAATCACTGATACCCTTTCTTCCACTTGCTCGAATTGGCTATTGAAGCTTGTTTATGTGTTTCGAAGTTCTTGAGCCATGATTTTCAGCTCCATCAGGTTATTTAAGGTCTTCTCTATGCTGTTTGTTCTAGTTAGCCATTTGTCTAATCTTTTTTCAAGGTCTTTAGCTTCCTTGCAATGGGTTCGAACATCTTTCTTTAGCTCGGAGAAGTTTGTTATTACCGATCTTCTGAAGCCTACTTCTGTCATCTCGTCAAAGTCATTCTCTGTCCAGCTTTGTTCCATTGCTGGCGAGGGGCTGCGATCCTTTGTAGGAGAATAGTCACTATGATTTTTAGAATTTTCAGCTTTTCTGCTCTGGTTTCTCCCCATCTTTGTGTTTTTATCTACCTTTGGTCTTTGATGTTGGTGACCTACAGATGGGGTTTTGGTGTAGATGAACTTTTTGTTGATGTTGATGCTATTCCTTTTTGTTTGTTAGTTTTCCTTCTAACAGTTAGGTCCCTCAGCTGCAGGTCTGTTGGAGTTTGTTGGAGTTCCACTCCAGACCCTCTTTGCCTGGGTATCAACAGTGGAGGCTGCAGAACAGCAAATATTGCAGAACAGCAAATATTGCTGCGTGATCCTTCCACTGAAAGCTTCGTCCCAGAGGGGCAGCTGCCTATATGAGGTGTCTGTTGGCCCCTACTGAGAGGTGTCTCCCAGTTAGGCTACACGGGGGTCAGGGACCCACTTGAGGAGGCAGTCTGTCCATTCTCAGAGCTCAAATGCAGTGCTGAGAGAACCACTGCTCTCTTCAGAGCTGTCAGACAGGGATGTTTAAGTCTGGAGAAGTTGTCTGCTGCCTTTTGTTCAGCTATGCCCTGCCCACAGAGGTGGAGTTCAGAGGCAGTAGGTCTTGTTGAGCTGCGGTGGGTTCCACCCAGTTCGAGCTTCCCAGCTGCTTTGTTTACCTACTCAAGCTTCAGCAATGGCAGACGCCCCTCCCCCAGCCAGGCTGCCATCTCACAGATGGACCTCAGACTGCTGCACTAGCAGTGAGCAAGGATCCGTGTGCATGGGAGCTGCCGAGCCAGGCACGGGGGAGAATCATCTTGTCTGCCGGTTGCTAAGACTGTTGGAAAACCACAATATTTGGGTGAGCGTGTCCCAATTTTCCAGGTACCATCTGTCACGACTTCCCTTGGCTAGGAAAGGGAAATCCCCCAACCCCTTGTGCTTCCCTGGTGAGGCAACGGAAGCCCTGCCCTGCTTCGGCTCGCCCTCCATGGGCTGCACCCACTGTCCAACCAGTCCCAATGAGATGAACCACGTATCTCATTTGGAAATGCAGAGATCACCCATCTTCTGTGTCGATCACGCTGGGAGCTGCAGACCGGAGCTGTTCCTATTCGGCCATCTTAGCAGGCACCTCTAGTTCTGCCATTTACGAACTCTCCTTTGACATTTTTCAAAAGAATACAGACTATTTTGGTTTTTGGTGAGCAGATACTTTATATGACAACCGAGAATAAAAGTATATTTTGACAAGTTAATAGTTACAATATGTAAAATCCTGATACACATATATTGACTTAAAAAATGACTGAATGGTCCAGAATGAGTTATTATAGTTCCTGCATGGGACCTAGGCAAACTTGCCTCTGTTTTTCCAGGTTCCAAAAAAATTTCTTTAGATATCCTAAGATTATATATAAAGCTATAGTCTTAAACTTGTTTCTTCATCAACCTACTTTCTCTTCCTCTGGTCCAGAAAATACTTTTAACAGTGGTGCCATTTGCAATGGCCTCATCTGATGCATTGTGTGTTGACTTTAAAATAATTTTCTTTGACTTTCACATAAAAGTGACAAGTAGGTCCCTGAATCTCAAACGAAGTATTTATAGAAGCACATAGAAATATCTAAAGTTACATTAGAAATGCAAATCAGGAATATTAATTCAGGTCCTGACAGAACCCAGAAAAAAAAATTCCACAATGTAGGCATGGGGACTGAGATATAATTATAGGACAAGGTAACAGAAGGTAGAAAGACATTTCCAGTTACATTCTATTGAATGCATATTCCATTGACTAGGGATCTCTTCAAACAATGAAGTAGGCAACTTCTCTACAATAAGTCCACAATATCAGAACTGCTTTGTTAGGAGCTGTAAGGCTGTATCTTCTCCTAGCCTCCATCATGCCCATTAATATTTCCCTGTCTCTTTTTGTGCTTTGAAAATCAGTGAAGTAGAGAGCAGAACATACAAAACATGTCTCACAGCATTGTCAAGTTAAAAGTTTGCCCTGAAAATGTGTTGACACTGAAAAATTTCTGAAAGAGAGGCAATCTGTGTGTTGTAGTATGTCTTGCATGGTTTTCTTTGAGGAAAACATTATAGGCTCTTTCAAAGTATCCAGGTACTAAAATAATTTTGTGCAAACAGACAGCTGGGCCATAGAAGTTAGTATTGCTTTGTAGAATCAGATAAATAGGCACTAGAGGGAAATAACATACTTCTTCCTCAGACTAGCAGGACTGCATTATTAAAGTACAGTAGACTTCAGAAATAATGTAAGTGGCAACGTACATCAAGCAAAAACTCAACATAACATTAAATAGAAAGGATGCCAAGAGAACCCAGGTAGAACCTGAGGAATAATCAAAGATAAACTATCTACATTGCCTAATGCAAAACCATAGATCTGAATGGAACTGTTGTTATTTCAAAATTAGTGAAACAGAAATAAACAACACTCTGGGGCCTTTGAAAATACTTCATGGTCAAGAAACAAAGAAAACACACCCACACTTAAAAAATCCTGAGTCTACATAATAAGGAAATTTTAGAAATCACTTGTTTTGTACAATTATTTAAAATTAAGGGAAAATAAACTTAAAAATGCAAGAGATACATGCAATAAAACCATAAAAGATTAAGGTGGATAGGTCACTTACTTCAATGTTCAGAGCATCAAATGAAAGCGTAAAAGATATTAAAAGACCATAAAAATTTGCATCTAAGCCGTAAAGAGCAAAGAAGACCCCACAGGATGTCAATTCAGTGATGTAACATTCAAATCTAATAAACTTGCTTTCATAACATTAATAATAAATAAAGTACTCACTTTCAAAATACAGATACTAAGAGTTTAAAGCAATACAGCATTTTGGAAATAATATGGCAATAAAGAGAAGTAAAATAAATGCCTCAAAATGTGCATAATTGTTGAGTTAAAAAGAATACTTTCCATTTTTACCCTAAAAATAACTTAAAATATCATCAAATGTTTGTTTTCAAGGACTTCTTATATTATTTATACATTATTATCACAGTATTTAAAATATAACATTTAAAACTTTATAGTCTCAATGTCTATATTTAAATGAATGTTTAAATATTTTGTGATACAGCAATATAATGGTATGTCATACAGTCCATAAACTGGCGAAGATTGTGGTGTAAGCACATTTTCAATCAACTCTTTCCCAAATCCTCCTGAACTACAATAAAACAAATTTAAAGAAACAAAATTTATACAGTATACTCTGGAGATATTGCAGGTTTGGTTTCAGATTACCACAGTAAAACAAATATCTTCATAAAGCAAGTCACAATTTTTTTTTATTTCCCAGTGCATGTAAAAGTTACATTTACACTATAGTGTAGCTTATTAAGTGTGCAATAGCATTATGTCTAAAAATCAATGTACCTTAATTAAATATAGGTTTTTACTAAAAATGCTAATGATCATGAGCCTTCAGTGAGTCATAACGTTTTGTGGTAGAGGGCCTTGCCTTGATGTTGATGCTTGCTGATTGATCAGAGTGGTGATTGCTGAAAATTGGGGTGACTGTGGCAATTCCTTGAAATAAGAAAACAATGATGTTTGTCACATTGATTGACTGTTCCTATAATGAAAGATTTCTCTGTAGTATGCAATGCTGTTCAATAGCACTGTACCCATAACAGGACTTCTTTCAAAATTGGAGTCAATCCTGTCAAACCCCACTGCTGCTTTATCAACTAAGTTTATGTGATATTATAAATCCTTTGTTGTCATTTCAGTAATGTTCACAGTATTTTCACTTGAAGTAGGTTTCATCTCAATAAACCACTTGATTTACTCATCCATAAGAAGTAAATCCTCATCCATCAAAATTTTGTTTAACTACACATTTTTTTTTTTGTTTTAGCAGCTTTAAATGTTTTTACCATGAGATTGCAGCATAACAGTCACATCTTCAGGCTCCAAACCTAATTCTAGCTCTCTTGATATTTCCACCACATCTACAGTTACTTTCTCTACTGAACTTTTGAACCCTTTAACGTTATCCATGAGTGTTTGAATCAACTTCTTCCAAACTTTTGTTAATATTAATATTTTGACCTCCTTACATGAGTACTCATAGATGTTCTCAATGGCATTTATAATGCTGAATATTTTCTAGAAGATTTTCAATTAACTTTTCCCAGATCTATGAGAGGATTTACTATCTATGGCAGCTAAAGCCTTACAAACGTTATTTCTTAAATAATAAGACTTGAAACTCAAAATTACTCATGAAAGCAACATTAATCTACTTTGGCATCTCTATCAGGTGCATAGGTGAATAGGTATATTGTCAATGAGCAGTAATATTTTGAAAAAAATTTTTTCTTAGTAGCAGGTCTCAATAGTGGGCTTAAAATATTCAGTAAACCATGCTGTAAACAGATGTGCTGTCATCCAGGCTTTGCTGTTCCATTTATAGAGCACAGGTAGAGTTGATTTATCATAATTCTTAAGGGCCCTCAGATTTTCGGAATGTTAAATGAGAATTGCCTTCATCTGGAAGTCACCAGTTGCATTAGCCCCTAACAAGAGAGTCAGCCTGATATGGTTTGGCTCTGTGTCCCCACCCAAATCTCATATGGAATTGTAGTTCCCATGTGTCAGGGGAGGGGCCTAGTGGGAGGTGGCTGAATTATTAGAGTGGACTTCCCCCTTACTGTTCTTGTAATAGTGAGTTCTCATGAGATCTAGTTGTTTGAAAGTGTGTGGGCCGGGTGCAGTGGCTCACACTTGTAATCCTAGCACTTTGGGAGGCCAAGATGGGCAGATCACCTGAGGTCAGGAATTCAAGACTATTCTGGCCAACATGGGGAAAACCCGTCTCCACAAAAAAATACAAAAATTAGCTGGGCATAGTGGCTCATGCCTGTAATCCCAGCTACTCGGGTGGCTGAGGCATGAGAATCTCTTGAACCTGGGAAGCAGAGGTTGCAGTGAGCCGAGATCCTGCCACTGCGCTCCAGCCTGGGTGACACAATGAGACTCTGTCTAAAAAAAAAAAAGTGTGTGGCACTTACATCTTTGCTCTGTCTCCTGCTCCACCTTGGTAAGATGTGCTTGCTTCTCCTTCATCTTCCACCATGACTGTAGGTTTCCTGAGGGCTCCCAGTCATGCTTCTGGTTAAGCCTGTGGAATTATGAATCGATTGAACTTCTTTTCTTCATAAATTACCCAGTCTCAGGTAGTTCTTGATAACAGTGTGAAAACAAAGTAATACACAGACTGTTTTAAAGCTTTGAAGCCAGGAATTGACATATTTCTAGCTATGAAAGTCTTAGATGGTACATTCACCCAATAGAAAGCTGTTTTGTCTACATTGAACATCTGTTGGTTAGTGTAGCCATCTTCATCAATTATCTCAGCTATATCTTATGGATAATTGCTTGCAGGTTCTACATCGATATTTGCAGCTTCACCTTGCACTTTTATACTATGTAGATGGCTTCTTTCCTTCAACCTCTTGAACAAACCTCCACTAGCCTCCAATATTTTTTCTGCACCTCCCCCACCTCTCTTAACCTTCATAGAATTGAAGAGAGTTAAGATTTTGCTCTAAATTAGGCTTTGGCTTAAGGGAATGTTGTGGTTAGTTTGACCTTTTATCCAGACCACTAAAACTTCTTTCCATATAAGCAATAAGGCTGTTTAACTTTCTTATCATTCACGTGCTCACAGGAGTAGCACTTCTAATTTTCATCAAGAACTTTTCCTTTGCATTCACAACTTGGCTGTTTGGCACAAAAGTCCTAGCTTTTAATCTGTTTTGGCTCTCAAAGTGCCTTCCTCACTAAGCTTAACCATTTCTAGCATTTGATTTAAAATGAGAAATGTATGGTCTTTTCACTTGAACACTTAGAGTCCATTTTAGCATTATTAATTGGCCTAGTTGCAGTAGTTTTTTGTCTCAGGGAATAGGAATGCACAAGAAGAGGGAGAGAGACAGGAATTGGTTGGCTGGTGGAGTAGTCAGAACACACACAACATTCATCTATTGAGTTCATCGTATATGGGCATGTTTCAGGGTATCTCGAAACAATTACAATAGTAAGATCGAAGATCACTGATCACAGATCACAATAACAGATATAATAGTAATGAAAAAGTTTATCTTACTGTGAAAATAAATGTAACACGGAGACACAAAGTGAACACAGGCTGTTGGAAAAAGGCACCTATAGACTTGCTCAATGCAAGGTTGCCACAAACCTTCAGTTTGTAAAAAGTACTATTTGTGATGTGAAATAAAGTGAAGTACAGTAAAATGAGGTATGCTATGTAAGAAAACATCTACAGTAAAGCCAGGAAGTTACCTCAAAGAGCACTGTCAGGTAAAATCCATATTTGGTCATATTGAAAGAAAAAAATATTACTGCTCAAAAGTCTAGTACATTGCTTGACACTACAAGGGATAAGAATTTTGAGGCATTGGTGGTTGGGGACATAGGTGTGTGGAAACCACAATATTTTGAAACCTATTTGACAATTATAGATTGGCAGTAACAGCAGAACTTAAAAAGTAACTACATAGTCTCAGAGAGCCATTTTAATTTTTAACATTAAATCCCTAACTCTGAGTTTTAAGGGAGAGAGTAGATGGTAGAAAAATGAAAAGTGACATTTGAGAGTCTTTTTTGCAGCTGATAACCAAAGATAAATTTCTTAAACGTAAATAAAAATGCATCTACAAACCGAAAGCCACAAGCTGAGGGACAATGTTTTATCCCAACGTCACATAAATGTGATTAGCTCTGTCACATGAGAAAGACACATTGAATAACAAGAAAACAGGACAGGCCTTCCATACTGTACAGATGGCCATTGGTGCAGGGTTTTATTTTAATTAATTATTTTAGCGTAGTTTTAGATTTGTAGAAAAGTTGCAATGAATAGCACAGCAAGTTCTCATACGCTCAATACAGTTTTCCCTATTGTTAATGTTTAAAATTACCATAGTAATGCTAAAATTCAAGAACCAGTATTAATACAGTATGATTAGTCAAAGTACATATTTTATTCAGATTTTCTTGCTTTTGCCTACTGTCATTGTCCTGTTCCAAGATCCCATTCAGGAAAACACATTACATTTACTCACCTTGTTTCTTTGGCTCCACCTCGGCTATGCCAGTTTTTCAGACTTCCCTTGATTTTGATGACCTACACAGTTTGGACTAATTCTGTTGAGGCATTTCTCAGAATGACCTTCAAGGGAGGTTCTTCTGATGAGGAACACCACAAAAATAAACTGCCATTCTCATCACACCGTAACAACATAACCTGTCACTGTTGAGTTGACATTGATCGCCTGGCTGAGGTAGTGTTTCTCAGCTTTCTCCACTGTAAAGTTACTCTTTCTCCCCTTCTTTCCATGTTATACTCTTGGAAAGGAAGTCACTATATGCAGTAAACACACAGTGGGGAGTTTCGCTCCATCTTCTTGAGAGGGGAGTATTAACATAAATTATTTAGAATTCTTCTGCATGAGAGAATTCTGTATTCTGCCCTCATTCATTCATTCATTCATTCATATCAGTATGGACTCTGGATGCCTATTTTCCTCTGTTATAATCCAATATTATGTTACATTTTTTTTGCTCAAATTATTTCAGCTTTGACTTTTGAGAGCTCTTTCAATTGACTACTGTGTCCCTTTGAAATATTCTCTCATTTTTTGTTTTATTTTTAAGTACTGTCTTACTTTGTGACACTACAAGATGCTTGAGGATCAGTCTGTATATTTCTTGCCTCAGACATGGATTCAGCCATTTCTCCCAGGAGCCTTGGTTTGTTTTATTGGAGAATCCTAGTAGAAATCACATTCTGGGCACTGGGTTTCTTCATTGCTACTTGGGTGTCATTGCTTCTAGGCCCTCTCAGCTCACAGAGCAAAAAGCATATGCATATGTATACTAACCCATGTATACACACATTTATTAAAAAATTCTTCTGTATCAATCTGTATCTAGATTAAGCTGACTCTAAGTAATGATGTCTCCAACTCTAATCCAATATTACATAGATTATTCTAGCTTTCTCTTCTTGTTTGTCTGTAACCTCCCACTTCAATACTGAGAAACCTAGCTCCTAATATATAACTTGCCATCTATTTACTTAATTGCTAAATTCCAATATGCATGTATATTCATTTCAGAATTGTTAACCTGTATTACTATGGGACACAACTTTACCAAACAGAACAGAGTGATTATGTATAGTTTCTTTTGCCTTTAATCTTACAATCTCTACACCTTGCCAAAATTACTTAGATCAATGCCTTTTCTCCCACTTCAGTTAGGTTAATTTAAATATTTCTAATAGAAGTAAATTAATTCAACACAGTCTGCATTCCATCTCAGGCTCCCCCGGCCTCCCAAATAATTTTTCTAATTTGCATACATGAAGATTTACTCTTCATTATATAAAGTTCTATGAATTTTGACAAATGCATAGTGTTATGTATTCAATATTACAGTATCATACACAATAATATCTTCACCCCAAAAAATTCTGTTCTTCATCTGTCCAGCCTTTTCTCCCTTCCAAAACTCCTGGTAACCATTGATCTTTTTTACTCTCTCTGTAGTTTTACCACTTATGGAATGTCATATGAATGTTGCCATATGATCCATAGCCTTTTCAGACTAGTTTCTTTCACTTGGCAATATGTCCTTAAAATTCTTCATGTATACACACACATACACACACACAGAGAGAGAGAGAGAGAGAGAGAGTATTCCAAGTAAACTTAATACAGGTTGACCAAGAATTCACCTGTGTGATATTACTAAAGTACAAGTTTAAAGAAATAATTATACAAATATTGAAACAGTCAAATTATGTTTACCTAAGGAAAGAAAATAGGCTGACTTTAGATTTTCCTGAGCAACATTATATGCTAAAAGGTAGTGGAATACAGTCTAAGTTGTTTTGAATCTGTAAAGTTAGTAACTAATGAGTGCTATAACCAACTGGTCATTGGGCTCATGTGCAAAGACTTATGTGTGAAGATATGCAAGGACTCAAGAAATATATTATCACTGTGCCATTAATGAAAAACATTAACCAGAGATGTAATTCAGCAACCTGATAAATTACTAAGAAACAATGCTTGCATAAAAATGTAACGATATGGGAAGATTGGTAAGGAGCACTCAATCTATTTAAACAGAACTAATCCTAAAATTTGACTTATTTTTATTTAAATGTAAGTAAGTGTTATCAACTTGTAAAAACAACGAATTAATGAAGTAAATACTGGTTTCCTTACTTCCATCCTTTCCCCCTTACAGTCTATTCTCAACAAAGCAGTTAGAGTGATTCTTAAAACGTGAGTCAAGTTATCTTTCCAATCTGCTGAAACCTGCTTTCTTTCTGCCTCCGTATCTCACTTTGAGTTAAAAATAAGGTTTTATGCAATAGCTTACAAAACTTCCCCGTGACCTTTTAAATTTCATCTTCTACTATGATTTTCTTGTTCACTCTGCACTAGCCCCACTTGCCTTGTTACTGGTTCTATGTCCTGCCATGCACTCTCTTGCCTTTAAGTTATTTGCACACACTGTTCAACCACCTGGATTGCTTCTGCCCCAGATTTCTGCATGACTACTTCTGTCACATCCTTCAAATATTTGTTCAAATGCCACTTTTTCCATGATTACTCTGACCACCCTATTTAACAATGCATTAATGCCCTCAACAAGGCCCTATACATTCCCAAACCCTCTTACTCTGCTCTTATTTATTCCTTTTCCCATAGCACTTTATAACCTTCTAACATGCCATAGATATTAGTTATTATGACTACTATTTCCTATCTACCTTCACTAGAATGTAAACCTCCAAAGACAGGGAGCTTTGTCCAATTTGATATAGATGTAACCCAAGTGCCTATAACAGTTCTTGGCATATAGTATGACATTCAAACATTTGTAGGATGACTGAGTAGAAAATAATGATAACTTAACTCTAAATAATAAAACTCCAAGATCAACCTCAAATGTAGCAGAGGAGGTAAGAAGAATGTGTGGAACAAGTGTGTCTTTCATGGAATGAGATTGGAGATAAATAGATACTTCTTCTGTCATAAACATATATATATATATATATATGTATAGTATTTTTAAATACAATGTATGAATAGTAACCATTAGAATAGCTACAAAGGTTATATGAAGCTGTCACAGATGATATAGTAAAAGACAGAAGATACAGTAAGCATAACTAGTATAACAATAAATGCAGGTGGAGAAAAGATATGTTTTAAGGATTAAAAGAAAGGACTATCAGCTTGGGTCAAATAACAAAGATTTGTTAAATATCCACTTATGTGTTGTCTATAAACTAAACACCTGGTTAAATTTTTTCAGATCATGACAGGTCTGCCCCAAAAGTGTCAGTGATCTGAAAATGCCAACAAAAATTTAGAGATAAAACTTTAAGACCAGATTAAATTTGAGATTAAAATTTAATGTTTTTTTAATTCCAAGATGGCAGATTAGAGACTATTAGCATGCCTCAGCCACTTGTAAATAGCAAGATAAAGCATTAAAATCAATTCTGTGAGTTTTAATTCAAGAAGAAAATAGGAATCCACCAGAATTGTGATGGATAATCCAGTTCCTGGGGAGAAGAATGCCAGCAAACAGCCCTTGTGACAGCATCTGACTGATAAAAGTGAGTGAAACACGAGTGCCTGAAAGAGATGGAAAGCCTCCCTCTATGACTCACTTTTCTTTTTTTTTTAATTTTATTATTATTATACTTTAAGTTTTAGGGTACATGTGCACAATGTGCAGGTTCGTTACATATGTATACATGTGCCATATTGGTGTGCTGCACCCATTAACTCATCATTTAGCATTAGGCATATCTCCTAATGCTATCCTTCCCCTCTACCCCCACCCCACAACAGTCCCCGGTGTGTGATGTTCCCCTTCCTGTGTTCACGTGTTCTCACTGTTCAATTCCCACCTATGAGTGAGAACATGCGGTGTTTGGTTTTTTGTCCCTGTGAAAGTTTGCTGAGAATGATGGTTTCCAGTTTCATCCATGTCCCCACAAAGGACATGAACTTATCATTTTTCATGGCTGCATAGTATTCCATGGTGTATATGTGCCACATCTTCTTAATCCAGTGTGTTTATGACTCACTTTTCTACGGAGATCACAGCAACACAGGCTAAGGGAGGGCGCATTGTTTCTCCCAAGCCCTGAAGCTAACTTGAGAAGAGACTTGGAGATGCTGTGAGGGAAAAATACTGGAAAGGGCTGCAGACATTTTTTCATACCAGGGACTGACAGCAGGATTCCATTTTTAATCTTGGCAAATACAAAGTTAGTCATTATTTGAAAACCTGGCAGCATGGCCATGCTTGCATTTTGGTCTGTGCAAAGATCTTGGGGCAGAGGGGCTATCTCCACTCTACATCCAGGCAGACCTCCAGGCATTTGAAGCACCCACTCTCCTGGATTAGGAGTTTAGGCTGAATCCAATGCCCATGTATTGGGATTCAATCAGGCTGGTGGGAAAAATATGAGAGATAGTTATAGAAATAGACACAAATCTTCTAGAAAGGCCGAGAAGTTTGCATAACTTCGGTAATAGATCTGGCTGAAGGCGGCCTGATCCCTCTACCTTTAAACAAATGAAAATAGTAATAAAGAGAGACAGAGTCATTTACCTAGCTAGCTTGTTTACTCATATAATCTTAAAACTAATCTTTGATGTACTGCAGGTGCTTAAGTGCTTTTTACTTGGGAAGTCCACAATGTCATTTACCCTTTAATGGTGTTGACACAAGCTTTTGTTAATTAATCTTACTGAATACATGCTGATCTGGGCCCAGTGGCAACTGTTTACAGGACTCAGCAGGGAGCCTGTAAGCGGCTTGGACCCTCAGCTGGACTGGCAGAGCAGAATATCTGTGTGTCAGTGTACTTTATTCATCCGTCACTAGGTAAGAGGTCTGCAAGTGACAGACTCCCCACAGCTGGTGCCCCTACCAGGGGACCGCTGCCACACCCATGCAGAGAACTTAAAGATGAGGAGGTTTTCCAGCTCCATGACTAGGCACAACTTTGGCTGCTTGTTTGCCATCCACTAAATTCTCCTTCAGTGCAGGTGCTTAGGCCGGCCACTGGGGGACCTGTAGGCTAGCTGCCCCATCCAGCCCATTCATCAGGACTCCCACCCCCTGGGGCTAAGCAGGGAGCTCAGAGACTGTGCATTCCAAGAGTCAGCCCATTGCCTGAGGCAACAGAGGGCTTCCTCAAGTAAACAAAAATCACCTGTACATTCAGTAGCATTGACTCTTACCATAAGCACCATCTACTGACTTGTAGGCTGAACTATACAGCCAATATAAAATCTGCTGAAAGAAGTGCATAGGACTATAGAAGCAAAGCCAAAACACCCTCCCCGGCATTCTTTTATAGTTGCACTCCCTAGGGATTGGACTAGGGATGGAGGAAAATGGTAAGAAAAAAACACAATAATGTTACAGAGAAAGAAAACAAAAGAAAAAACTTCACCAACATAAAATAATTACAAAATTTAGAAAATAAGAAAAGCCAGCATCTTCAGATGAGGAAGACCCAGCACAAAACTTCTGGCAGTATGAGACATTTAAATGTAGTGACACCAACGAAGAATACCACCAGCTCTCCAGCAATAGTCCCTAACTAAAATGAAAACAACAGATAGCTCAGAAATGACTGACAGATAAATAAATCAAAACAAGGACTGCAAGGAAGCTCAACAAGGTGCAAGAGAAGGTGGAAAATCAACACAAAGAAACTTCTAAAGCAATACAAACAATAAAGAAAGAGATAAACATCCTAAAAAGAAATCAATCAGAGCTTCTGGAATTAAAACACTCACTTAAGGAATTTCAAAATACAATTTAAAAAGATTTTTCAATATAGTCAATCAAGCAGAAGAAAGAATGTTGGAGCTAGAAGACCAGTTTTTCGGAAAAAAAAAAAAAAACCTAGTCAGACAAAATAAAGAAAACAGAATTTTTTAAAAAATGAACAAAGACTTTGAGATGTATGACATAATATAAAGACACCAACCTTAGTCACTATTGGTATTCTTGAGAGAGAAGGAGAAAAAGCAAACATCCTGGAGAACATACTTAAGGGAATAATTCAAGAAAATTTCCCTAATTTTGCCAGACAGGTAGATACTTAGATACAAGAAATCCAGAGAACACCTGTGAATCACTATACAAAATGAACATCACCAAGGTGTATAGTCTCTAGACTGTTAAAGGTCAACACTAAAGAAAAAAATCTTAAAGGCAGCTACAGAAAAAGGACAGATCACATATAAAGGGAACTCCATTAGGCTAACAGCAGATTTCCCAGTATAAGCTTTTCAAGGCAGGAGAGACTGGGGGGCTAACAACTTTATGACAGAATCAGAACTTCACATATCAACATGAACCTTTAATGTTAATGGTCTAAACTCCTCTCTTAAAAGATGCAGTGTGGCAAGTTGGATAGGAGAACAAAACCCATCCATCTGATGTCTCCAAGAGACAAATCTCACACATAATGAAACCCATAGGATCAAAATAAAAAGTTTGAGAATGAGCAACTACGCAAATGGAAAATAAAAAAAAAAAGCAGAGGTTGTTATTCTTATATCAGATAAAGCAGACTTTAAACCAACAACAGTAAAAAAGGACAAAGAAGGGCATTACATAATGATAAATAACTGAATTCAACAAAAAGACTTACCTATACTAAATATATATGCACTCAACATTGGAGCACCCAGAGTCATTAAACAAGTACTTCTAGTCCTAAGAATAGAAATAGACAGCCACACAATAATAGTGAGGGATTTCAACACCCCACTGTCAACATATGTAAAACTATTGAGGCAGAAAACTAACAAATTTCTAAACTTAAATTCATCACTTGACCAATTGGACATAATAGATACCTATAGAATACTTGATTCATCAATGATAGAATATACATTCTATTTACCTGCATACAGAACACACTCCAAGACTGACCACAGGCTTGGTGGTAATAGAGCAAGTCTCAATAAATTAATAAAAAGAAAACCCCATATCATACCAACTGTGCTCTCAGACCACAGTGGAATACAAATAGAAATAAATACCAAGAATAGATCTCAAAACCACACAATTACATAAAAATTAAACTACTTGCTCCTGAATGATTTTTGGGTAAAAAATGAAATGAAATGAAAGCAGAAATCAGAAAATTCTTTGAAATAAATGAAGACAGAAACACAACATACCAACCTCTGGGATGCAACAAAAGCAGAATCAACAGAAAAGTGTATACAGCTAAATGCCTACCTCAAAAAGTTAAAAATATCTCAAATTAAAAATTTAATATAAAACCCAGATAAACTAAAAAACAAGAACAAAGTAACCCCCAAAGCTTAAAGAGGAAAATAAATAACTAAAATCAAAGTGGAACTGAATGACATTGAGATCCAGAAATCTATGCAAAGAATCAAGGAGAACAAAAGCTGCTTCTTTTTAAAAATAAACAAGATTGATAGACCACTAGCTATATTTAAAAAGGAAAAAAGAGAGAAGATCTAAATTAGCACAATCAGAAATGACAAAGGTGACATTGCAACTGATCCCACAGAAAAACAAAAGATCCTCAGAGACTGCTATGAACATCTCTAAACACACAAACTAGAAAATCTAGAGAACATGGCTGAATTCCTGGAAACACACAATCCCCCAAGATTGAATTAGCAAGAAATTGAGACCATGAACAGACCAATATTGAGTTCTGAAATTAAATTAGTAATTAAAAAAAAACTCTGCCAACCAATCACAGTCCAGGACCAGATGGATTCACAGCCGAATTCTACCAGATATACAAAGAAGAGCTGTCACCATTTTTACTGAAACTTCAAAAAAAAACCAAGGATGAGAGACTCCTTCCTAACTCATTCTAAGAAGTCAGCATCACCCTGCTACCAAAACCTGGTGAAGAAGACACAATGAAAAAAGAAAAATACTGGCAACTACCCCTGTTGATCATAGACATGAATGTCCTCACAAAAATACTAGCAAACTGAATCCAACAACACATCAAAGTTAATTCACCACAATTATCATGTATGCTTCATTCCTGGGATGCAAGCATGGTTCAACATACACCAATGAATAAATGTGATTCACCACATAAGCAGAATTAAAACCAAAAACCATATGATAATCTCAATAGAATCCCAAAAAGTTTTTAATAAAATTCAATATTCCTTCATGATAAAAACCTTCAAGAATTTAGGCAAAGAAGAAGCATACCTCAAAATAATACCATTGATGACAAATCCACACCCGACCTCATATTGAATGAGCAAAATCTGGTTGCATTTCCCTTGAAAACTTGAACAAGACAGGATGCCCATGCTCACCACTTCTATTGAAGATGCTATTGAAAGTACTAGCTATAGAAATCAGGCAAGAGAAAGAAAGGAAACACATTCAAATAGGAAAAGAAGAAGTCAGACTTTCTTTCTTCATGAACCATATGATTCTACACCTAGAAAACCATAAAGACTCTGCCGTGGCTGGGCATGGTGGCTCACACCCATAAATCCAGCACTTTGGGAGGCCAAGGCAGGTGGATCACTTGAGGTCAGGAGTTTGAGACTGGCCTGGCCAACATGGGGAAACCCCATCTCTACTAAAAATGCAAAAATTAGCTGGGCGTGGTGGCACGCACCTGTAGTCCTAGCTACTCAGGAGGCTGAGGTATGAGAATCGCTTGAACCTGGGAGGCAGAGGTTGCAGTGAGCCAAGATCACGCCACTGAACTCCAGCCTGGGCAGCAGAGCAAGACCCTGTCTCAAAAAAAAAAAAAAAAAGAATCTTCCAAAAGCCTCCTCTAACTGATCAATTACTTCAGTAAAGTTTCAGAATGCAAAATCAATGTACAAAAATCAGCAACATTTTTCTATACCAAGAACATTCAAGCTGAGAGCCAAATCAAGAATACAATGTCATTCCCAATAGTTACTAAGAAAAAGTACATATAACCAAGGAGGTAAAATATCTCTAAAAGAAGAACTACGAAATACTATTTAAAAAGTCATACATGACTCAAACAAATAAAAAAAATCCCATGCTCATGGATTGGAAAAATCAGTATTATTAAAATGGCCATAATACCCAAAGCAATCTATAGTTTCACCACTATTCCTATCAAACTGTCAACGTCATCTTTCACAGAACTATAAAAAAAAAAAAAACTCTTTTAAAATGTTTATGGAACCAAAAAAGAGAATAGCCAAAGCAATCCTAAGCGAAAAGCGCAAAGCCAGAGGCATCACATTACCTGACTTCAAACTATACTACAAGGCTACAGTATCCAAAACAGCATGGTACTGCTACAAAAACAGACACAAAGAAAAAAAGAACAGAGTAGAGAACCTAGAAATAAAGCCACACACCTACAACCATCTGATCTTCAACAAAGCTGACAAAAACAAGAAATGAGGAAAGGACTTACTAATCAATAAATGATGCTGGTATGGCTGGCTAGCTATACGTGAAAGAATGAAACTGGACTACTACCTTTCACCATATATGAAAATCAACTCAAGATGGATTAAAGATTTAAATGTAAGATCTCAAAATATGAGGACCCTAGAAGGAAACCTAGGAAACATAACTCTGTACACCAACCTTGGGAAATAATTTATGACAGTCTTTAAAAGCAGTTGCAATGAAAAAAAATTGACAAGTAGTACATATTTGAACTAAAATGCTTCTTCACAGCAAAAGAAACTGCTGACAGAGTAAACAGACAACTTACAGAATGGGAGAAAATATTTGCCAACTGTGCATTTGTCAAATGTCTAATATCCAGATCTATATAAAACTTAAAAAATTGAATAAGCAAATAAAAAACATTAAAAATGGGCAAAATCAGCTGGGCATGGTGGCAGGCACCTGTAATCCCAGCTACTCGGGAGGCTGAGGCAGGACAATTGCTTGAACCTGGAAGGCGGAGGTTGCAGTGAGCTGAGATCACGCCACTGCACTCCAGCCTGGGTGACAGAGCAAGACTCCGTCTCGGGAAAAAAAAAAAAGGCAAAATCAATGAACAGACATTTCTCAAAAGAAGACATATAAGCAGCCAACAAGCATATGAAATAATGCTCCACAACACTCATCATCAGAGAAATGCAAATCAAAACCAAAATGAGATAACATCTCACACCAGTCAGAATGGCTATTACTAAAAAGTCAGAAAACAACATACGCTGGCCAGGCTGTGAAGAAAAGTAAACACTTATACACTGTTGGTGTCAATGTAAATTAGTTCAGCCACTGTGGAAAGCAATTTGGAGATATCTCAAAAAACTTAAAAGAGAACTACCATTTGATTCAGCAATCCCATTACTGGGTATATACCATAAAGGAAAAAATTGCTCTACCAAAAAGACACATGAACTCATATGTTCATCACAGCACTATTCACAATAACAAAGACATGGAATCAACCTAGGTGCCCATCCACTGTGAATTGGATAATGCAAATATGGTACATATACACCATGGAACACTATGCAGCCATAAAAAGGAACATGATCATGTCATTCGCAGCAACATGGATGGAGCTAGAAGCCATTTTCCTAAGCAAAATGCCACAGTAGCAGAAAAACAAATACTGCGTATTCTTACATGTCAGTGGGAGTTAACACTGGGTACTCATGGACATAATGAGCACAATACAAACAGCAGACTACTAGAGGGTGTACGGAGGGGGCAAGGGTTGAAAAACTATTGGGTACTCTGATCAGTACCTGGATGATGGGATCATTTGTAACCCCAACTTCAGTATCATTCCATATACACATGTAACAAGCTTGCACATGTGCCGCCTAAATCTAAAATAAAAGTTCAGGCCAGGCACGGTGGCTCACACCTGTAATCCCAGCACTTTGGGAGGCTGGGGCGAGTGGATCACGTGAGGTCAGGAGTTTGAGACCAACCTGACCAACATGTGAAACCTCGTCTCTACTAAAAATACAAAATTAGCCTGGCGTGGTGGCGCACACCTGTAATCCCAGGTACTTGGGGTGCTGAAGCAGGAGAATCGCTTGAACCTGGGAGGCAGAGGTTGCAGTGAGTCAAGATTGCACCTTTGCACTCCAGCCTGGGCAACAAGAACGAAACTCCGTCTAAAAAAACAAAAAATAAAATAAAACAAAATAAACGTTGAAAAAATAAATAAAAATAAAAATTAATGGGAATATACTGGTTATTTTAATGATAGCAAAATAAATTCACAAAGGACATTTTATAGTCATTTTATATTTGTACTAAACAAAACACAATGTCAAAAAATACAAAGCAAAACTACATACTAAAAGAGTAAATTGATCAAAACACTATATATATATATATATACTGTTGGGAGACTCATAAACATAGATAATTTCATGTCTGACAACAAAGAGCAGGCAAAAGGAATGTAACTAATATGAAAAATGATGCAATTTATTAAATATATATTTACCACTCTAAGTCACAAATAGTAAATACTTATTCCTTCAGAGAAGTCACAAAGAATTTACAAATATTGATCTTATATGAGGCCAACATGTAAATCTTAATTAATGACATATTGAAAAAATTTGGAAATTAATGGCAACAAAATACAACCACTTGGAAAGTTAAAATATCTCCCCCATGATAATAGAATGAAAAGGGAAATCAGAACTGCAGTTGCTAAATGGCTTGAAAATAATAGTGATTGAAACAACACACTGTATATAATATGAGCTGCAAAGACCATCTTGGACAAATAGTTTTAAAGATTTCCAAATGAAAATATGAAGAGGAATAAATTATACATTTGCTTCAAGAAGTTGGAAAAATAAAAATATTCTAACTCAAGAAACAGAAGATCGGCTTGCTTTAATCAACATAAAAGTAAGAACTATTTATTCTTAAGAGTAATAAAAATGAAAATATACAAGAATTCTTACTTTGATGTTAAAAAAATAAAAGCAGGTAAGTAACTAGCAGATGTAATCAAGAAATAAAGAAAATCTAGCTACACTATATTTGATTGTATGCATGAAAAATCATGCAGACGATCATGATAATTTGTAAGCATATGGTCATCTTTACAGATGCCAAAGGCATTTGTGATAAAACTCAAAATCTCTTACTTTTAAATTGTTAATAAAAAGGAGATAGATGAATGGCTATTTAATAGAGTAAAAAGTACATATCTCATATTGAAATGCCTGTTAAGTATTTCTGTTAAAATCAGCACAGTATCAAAAATAAGTCAGTAGCCAGACAGTAAATCACATTTTCTCATATATTTACATATATACATATGCACACACACATATACACACCCAAACATATGCATTAAAATATGTGTTGCCTCATTATTTATTTTTAGTACTTTTTGCATATCCTTCAAACTTTATCATTTCAAATGAATTTTAGAATGATTTGTCAAGTCCTCCCTCTCCCCGTAAATCAGAATAAATTTTGACTCTTATACTGTTGTTGTTTACATTATTTTTGAAGAAAACACACTTTAACAATATTGAAATTTCCCAGCCAAGGCCACAGAGTATATTTCTTCCTTTTATATTTATTGTTTATGTCACTCAGAAGACTTTTTACAATTTTCTTTCATAACGTTTGGTCATAGCATTTGTCCTTGCAGTTATCCATTTTATTTCATTTTTAAATGTATTTAAAATTATGAAATTATGATAAAAAACACATAGCATAAAATCCACCATCTTAACCTTTTTTTTTTTTTTTTTTTTTGAGAGAGAGTCTCACTCTGTTGCTCAGGCTGGAGTGCAGTGGCACGATCTCGGCTCACTGCAACCTCCACCTCCCGGGTTCAAGTGATTCTCCTGCCTCAGCCTCCCAAGTAGCTGGGACTACAGGCGTGTGCCACCACGCCTGGTTAATTTTTTGTATTTTTTAGCAGAGACAGGGTTTCACCATATTGGCTAGGCTGGTCTCGAACTCCTGACCTTGTGATCCACCCGCCTCGGACTCCCAAAGTGCTGGGATTACAGGCCTGAGCCACGGTGCCCGGCCAACCATTTTTAAATGCAGAGTTTGCTGGTGTTACATATATTTATTTTGTTGTGCAGCAGATCTCCAGAACATTTTTATCTTGCAAAACTGAAACATGCATCCATTAAAGCCCCCTCATGGTTTGCCCTCTGCCAACCACCATTCTACTTCAGTCACTATAAATTTGACCACTTTAGATACCCCATGCAAAGGGCATCATGAAACATTTTTCTTTTTGCGCCTGGCTTACTTTACTTAGAATAAGGTCCTCAAGATTCATCCATGTTGTAGCATGTGACAAGATTTCCTTTTGTTGTTAAGGCTGAATAATATGTAATTATGTATATGTACATGCCACATTTCACTTATCCATGCATCTGTCGATGGGCATATGGATTGCTTCATATTGCCTATTGTGAATTATGCTGCTTTGAATATGGATGTGCAAATATGTCTTCAAGATTTTGCTTTCAGTTCTCTTTAATGTATATTTAAATGTGGAATTTCTGGATCATATGATAATTCTGTTATTTTTTCGAGCAACGCCCATCCTGTTTCCAAAGCAGTTGCATCATTTTACATTATCACCAACAGCATTTTACTTTTTTCATTTCTTTTTCTGCTTGTTCTTTAATATTTTTCCCTTTTCCCCGATTTCTTTCTGTTGACAGCAAATTTACTATTGAAAAGCTATGAGAAACATTTGTAGTGTTTTAGATTTACAGAAAAGTTGCAAAGGTAACACAGAGTCCCTGTACCCATCATTTTATTTTTAAATGTATTTAAAATTATGAAATTTTAAATCATAGCCAGTTTCCATTATTCCTAATATCTCACATTAGTATGGTAAATGTCACATCCAGTGGGCCAATATTGATATATTATTATTAACTACAGCACATATTTTATTCATATATTCTTAGTTTTTATCTAATGTACTTTTTCTGTTTTAGGATCACATACAGGATAGAACATTACACTTAGTCATCATGTCTCCTTAAACTCCTCCTGGCTGTGACAATTTCCAAGTGTTCTCTTGTCTTTGAAGGCCTCGACAGTTTTGAGAAGTACTGGTCAGGTATTTTGCAGAATGTCTCTCAACTGGAGTTTTTCTGATACTATGCTCATGATTAGACTGGCCTTATGAATTTTGAGGAGGAAGAATACAGAGGCAAAATGCCACTAACATTACATCATATCAAAGGTACATACATAGGCCAGGCGCGGTGGCTCACACGTGTAATCCCAGCACTTAGGGAGGCTGGGGCGGGCAGATCACCTGAGGTCAGGAGTTTGAGACCAGCCTGACCAATATGGTGAAACTCTGCCTCTACTAAAAATATAAAAAAAATTAGCCGGTGTTATGGCGTGTGCCTGTAGTCCCAGCTACTCCGGAGGCTGAGACAGGAGAATTGTTTGAACCCGGGAGGCAGAGGTTGCAGTGAGCTGAGATCGCACCACTGCACTCCAGCCTGGGTGACAAAGCGAGACTCCATCAGAAAAAAAAAAAAAAAGGTGCATACATACTAAGAATATAATATCACTATTGAAGTTGATATTAATCACCTGGCTGAGATAGCTGTTTGTCAGGTTACCCCACTCTCTCCCCCCTCCTTTGCATGTTATACTCTTTGGAAGGAAGTAACTATGCACAGTCCACAGTTAAGGGTGAGAAGTCATGCTGATCTCCTTCATTGGAGTGGGGAGTATCTACCTAAATTATTTGAAATTTTTCTTTACAGATTTTTTCCTTCCTTCCTTCCTTCCGTCCGTCCGTCCTTCCATCCTTCCTTCCTTCCTTTCTTCAAAAATTAATATGTATCTGATATAACAGGATACAACATTACTTTTAGTCATGATGTCTCCTTAAACTCCTCTTGGCTGTGACAGTTTCCAGCCATCCATCCTTCCATCCTTCCTTCCTTTCTTCAAAAATTAATATGTATCAGTAAGAACTTACGGCTACTCATTTTATATTTTGGGTTATAATCCAATACTAGTTTATTTAATTTATTATTTTTTTTGCTGAAATTCTTCTGGTTTGGACATTGGGAGCTCCTTCCATTTGTCCCTGTGCCACTTTGTCATACCCTCAGTTGTTTTTATCGCTTTCAGGCACTACAAAATGCCCCTGGACGATCTTTTATTTTTTTCCTGTTTCATCCCTGGAATCAGCCATTTTTCCAGAAACTATGGAAACTTTTAGGTTTTATTCACTCTTTCGTCTTATAGTCTTGGTTTTATATGTACATTGTCATATAATTGGCAAATAAGGCCAATTTAGTTTCTCCCTTTCTATTTATTTATAACTCTTATTTTAGAGCAAGCTTGTCTAAACCGCAGCCTGTGGGCCACATGGAGCCCAGAAAAGCTTTGAAAGTGGCCCAATGCAAATTCATAAATTTTCCTAAAACATTGTGAGATTTTTTTGCATTTTTTTAGTGCATTGGCTATCATTAGTGTTAGTGTATTTTCTCTCCTTCCAATGTGACACAAGGTAGCCAAAAGATTGGACACCCGTTTTAGAGCTTTGTCTAATTACATTAGCTTGTTCGTCTAGATAAACACACACACATACACATGTATACATATGTATATATGTTTACATATGAAAGTGTTCAGACAAAAAGTTAAGACTAGAAAATCCAGAAACAAACCAAGTCCATGATAAAATAACTGGAAAAAGAATAAAGCAATTCACTAATGGTATTAGAAAAATTAGCTAACTATGTTAAAGTTAAGTAAAGTTTCTACTTGATAATTTTTTTATGATAAATCTCATGTGTTGAATACTGCTAAATATAAAAAGTCAGAACAAAAAAAAGTACTGGAACAAAAGACAAACATCTTGAACACAAAACACTTCTACATTTGGCTATTATGAATAATGCTTCTGTGAACATCTGTGGTTTTGTTTTAATTTTAAAAAACTAAAAATTGGATTTTTTGTATAGATGAAGTCTCATTATTTTGCCCAGGTTAATCTGGAACTCCTGGACTCAAATGATCCTCTTACCTTGGCCTTCCAAAATGCTGGGATTACAGGTAAGAGCCACTGCACCTGGCCTGTATGTTTTTAATTCTACTGTATATATAACAAGGGGTGGAATTGCTAAGTCATCTGGTAAATCTATGTTTAACTTTTTGAAGAAATGCTAACCTATTTCAAAGGGCTTGCATTATTTTACATTCCTATCAGCAATGTATGGGGGCTTCGATTTGCTACATCCTCACCCACACTTATTATTGTCTGATGTTTATTATAGCCACCATTGTGGGTGTGAAATAATAGCTCATTGTGGTTTCTATTTGCATTTCACCAATAAGACATTTCATGTGTTAATAAGCCATCTGTCTTGCCCTTTGAAGTGCTCATCTCTGGGTCCTCAAGTGAATTTTATTGTTTACATACCCTTAATTTTAAACCAGTACATCCCAAACATACTCTGAAAGTTTGGTGAAATAAATATCAGCCACTTTTATGTGGTGTGATAACAGAAAACAAATACAAACCATTTGATTGATACAGAAGATGGAGACAGAATTTTTGGGGTGGTAAATTGAAAGTAATGCAGTTTTTATTTCTTACGGCGTATTCTGCATTACAAAATACCCAATTTCAAAGAAATTTTATTTTAACCAAAGTAAAGGATGAATACAATTTGAATAATCAAATACTATCACAAAGCTTATAAAAAATCATTGGTGGGCTCTATGGTACAATAATTTCACTCCCCTTGCCATGGTGGTAACCAATTTAAAATTTGAGATTTTTTTTTCCAGTGTTGTCTCCACATTTCGAAATAACATGTTTTATTGCTATTTCCAAAATTTTCAGTTATATACGCTATAAAATTCCAACTAGGAAGAGGAGGAAATTTAGCTATTTGTATCACTATTTTTTCAACTTCACACTCAAATGCAGTTTTCTAGCCATCTTCTAAATATAGTTCCCTCATAATTTTAATTTTTGACTACATGACTTGTCAGTGTTTCCATTATGACAACTATATAAATATTAATCAGATATGAGCTATAGTATATACTATGATTACATTTACGTTCCTTAAAACTGTTTTTGTTTTGAAGGAATCAATAATGACCTTGCTCCTACATATATTTTAGTACATTTTATTACATACATAAAATTATATCATATATAATATACATATATACATACATAAGCAGCTGTCCTTATATACCCATGGGAATTGGCTTCGGGATGTATTTGCGTATACCCTCTATTCTCCCATATACTTTAAATAATCTCTAGGTTACTTATAATATTTAAGTTTTGCTTTTTGGAACTTTGTGAAAATTTTCTTTAATATTTTTGCTTGGCAGTTGGTTGACTCCAAGAATGCAGAACCCACAGATACAGAGAGCCAACTGTATATAATATATAATATATTATAAATAATATTATATATACATATACCTGCACACAATAAGCATAGGCCTCTTCCTAATCTAATCCCAAAATCTCTTCCAGAGATTAAACCCTTTTATTACAATCAAACAAATAAGGTTGCTTGTTGGTTCAATTTTTTCCTCTATTATGACACTTTCTTAGTACTCTCAGTTATCCCGTTTCAGTCTGGACTGACTGCCCTCTTTGCCCTCTCTGCCTGATGCAGAACTATTATCATAGAATTTCCTCATATCCTAATCTGAATGAATCATTTTCTCCTCTCTCCTATGTGGAATCTTCTGTTTTCTCGATCTCAAGTCTTTCTCACTAGCGGTGGAACCCCTTGCTTTAGTGTAGTACATCTTTCAGTAGCTTCTTAAGAAAGGATGTTTAAGAGGTAGATTTTTTTTTGAGATCCTGCATGTCTAAACTATCTTTAATCTCTCATCATATTTGAAGAATGGTTTGGCTTGGTTTGGAATCATAGATTGGGAAAAAAAAAAAAGTCCTCCTTTTCTCCATTGCTTTTAGATTCCATTTTTGTTAAGATTTCTGATGTCATTCTGATTCCCATTTCTTGGGATGTGACTTATTTTTAAGTGTTTTATCTCTAAAACATTTCTTGGGATGTGACTTATTTTTAAGTGTTTTATCTCTAAAAGCTCGTGTGGTCCCTACATTTCTCTCCTTGTGTTTTCTCCAATGAGCTGATGTTAGACTTCTTGAATTGATCTCTAAGTTTCTTACATCTTCTCTCCTATTTTTCCATCTCTTCAAATTTATTGAATCTTTCACTATTCGTCTTTCAGAAAGATTTTGTTACCTTTATGTCCCTCCTCACCCTTCAATTGCCAAATTGATTCTGCTACCACTTTTTAAAATTTCAAATACCACTCTTTGAATATTTGTTTTAATAGCATATTCTTGTTTCATCAATAGTTTCTTCTCTCTTTCCTTCTCCTTTATATATTATCTCCTCCAACTCTCTCTCATTTTTTTTTTTTATTTTTGTCTTATCTTTTAGGTCAAATGTTTTATTTGATGTCTACTAAAACATGGATGCCAGTTTATATTTAAGGGTAAATGAACCACTAAAATATGGACTAGAAGTGATGGGGGGTTTAAGAGTAGAGGAATGCAGGCCAGGCGTGGTGCCTCACGCCTGTAATCCCAGCACTTTGGGAGGCCGAGGCAGGTGGATCATGAGGTCAGGAGATGGAGACCATCCTGGCCAACATGGTGAAACAACGTCTCTACTAAAAATGCAAAAAGTAGCTGGGTGTGGTGGTGCGTGCCTGTAATCCCAGCTATTCGGGAGGCTGAGGCAGGAGAATCGGTTGAACCCGGGAGGCCGGGGTTGCAGTGAGCAGAGATCACGCCACTGCACTCCAGCCTGGTGACAGAGCAAGACTCCGTCTCAAAAAAAAAAAAAAAAAAAAAAAAAGAGGAATTTAACTGGTGGGCGTCACCGTGAAATGAGATAAAAATCCTGTCTTTTGTTAAGGTATCTTATTTCTTAAGTCTGCCAGTTTCCCCAAAGAATGAAGCTCCTACCTCCTGATTAGAGTAGAGAAATTTGACTGCCAGTGTTCTGGCATCCAAGTTGGAAAATGGAAGTAGAATCTCATGGTTCACTATGTTGATTTTTACTTACTTACCCTATGTTAAATCTGGTACTTCACCCTGAACTGCATCTAGCTTCTGCAAGTCCAGAGTTTCTTTAAGTCCAACCTCCTCAATCTCTGCAGAGATGAAAACTACGATCTTCTGCTTATGGGTTTTGAAGAGGATCTTGGTAGCCATACAGCTCCTGAATATACACGATTTATCACTACTACTATTTGTAGTCCATCTGGACTGCATTTCTGCTTCCAGAGGTACCTGGTACCTCTAATTTCTAAGCCTTTCCAAGATGGAATGATACAGCACAAGTCAGCTTTACACAGATTGAAAACAAGAAAACTAAATGAAAATTGGCATAGTTATCAATGACATTCTAACCCTATTTCCCACTTGGATGCCAGAACATCAGCAGCCAGTTTTCTATCTCTCAAACAGGAGGTTGTGGCATCCTTCTCTGAGGAAACTGACAAATCTGAGAAAAATGATACCTTGTTTACAGTTCCTGCTGCTGGAAGTGGTTTTCATCTATCTCCATTGTGCTAATTCAGTTACCTCTTATCTCTCCATCTCGCAACATTTTTGACAATTCATTTTTGGTATCATTTTCTCATCCATATTCTCTATTATTACGGATTTGAAGTTTTTTGTTCCTTTTCCCATTTTAATAGACTGTGAAAAGGCGTAAAGTTAAAATGTGGTTGTTTAATCTGCCATTTTTAACTATATTCCTATAATAATTAGAAAATCAAATGCTAAATAAAATTGTTAAAAACCAAGAAGTATTAACCCAACCCTTAGTGTTTTAATTATTTATTTATGCCTTTTTTTGTTTGTTTGTTTGTTTTTGAGACGGAGTCTTGCTCTGTCGCCCAGGCTGGAGAGCAGTGGTGCAATCTCGGCTCACTGCATATTCACGCCATTTTTATAGTGGTTTTAGTTAGGCCTTAATTTACTAGTCTAGGTTGTGGCCTCCCTCTTCTATGTTCTGCTGCAGAAAACAGCCATGTTAGCAGTGCTTTCCTGATCCCTGCCTCAGAGAGAGAAGCAGTCAGCAGCACTGATCTAATGAGGAACATCACTGGGGGCTGCAACTACACTTTCATGACCACACTAAAGTCATTAATTACAGAGAATCATTTAGAATATGCTGTCCTTTGTGTCTGGTTAAGTGATTAACATAAACCAATATATACTATATTCCAATATAATTTGTGTTAATGGGTGTGTTCTGTTCATATGAATACATTTTGCCTCTGGGTATCCTGATTAAAAAATTGCATGTGAAGAAAAAAAAGATTCTCTTTATGTTCCAAATGAAGCCCTGAACTTCCAAAGAAGAGGGAAAGAATTGACAGGACCATAAACGTAAGTAGTTGCCCATCTGATGTCCAATTTCCCCTAAATGGTGGAACAAATAGAGAAGGCACCAGGTACTCAACCTTTACTTATTAGTGAATTTTCCTAGAAGTACTTGGAGATAAATTTTATGTGGAAAAAAACAGCAAGTACTGCCTCATATTATTTGGGGAACTGAAGCTGAAATAATCATTAGTTGTAAGGACAAAGTGATTGAGGCACACGTCTGAAAATTCCAGGAGCAAGTGATGTTGCTCCTGAGTGATAAGCATCATGAAATGAAGTTGAGAAACCATCATTCCTTGACTATCATAAACAGCATTAAGAACACGAATGATATCATTTGTATAAAATTTTACTACTTTATAATCGTCCACAGACTAATAAGATAGCACTTAAGAAAATGAAATCCTGGATCAATATGCTTCTTGCCCAAGACCACACAAGTAATATAATAGTGAATGTGAAACTAAAACCTCAGTTTTATCCTATACTAGTGTGTGCATTCTAAAGAAACTGCTTTGCAACCACACAGAAATAAGTCTCAATTCCAAAACTACATTTTGTAGCCATATAGCTGTGGACATGATATTAATTTCAGTTCACTCTTTTGTAAAAATGGAAAGAAAAACAACTACTTTGTAACATTATGGTGAAGGTTAAATAAAATAGCATATATGAAGTACCACCAACAGTTGTTGAAATATTGTTAAGTGCTCAAATATTTATCGTTTTAACCAACAATTGTTTAGTAAAGACTTACTATGAGCCAGATACACTACTAGATGTTGAGGTGATAATGCTGAGCAGGACATATGTAGCTCCTGTCCACAGAAAAATTATAACCCAGTGAGAAAAATAAAATAAACAACTAATTACTATACAAACATGGATTGCAGTGGTAGAGAATAATAATAGGGGCACGGCTATTGATACAGGGCAGTTAGAAAGCATAATATTGAAAATATTTAATGATAGTATAATTGACCCTTGAACAACATTAATTTAAACTGTGTAGGTTTGCTTATCGGTGGATTTGTTTTCAACCAAGTGGTGCATTGAAAACACAATATTTGCAGGATGGGCTATACTGAGGGATGACTTTTTGAATACACGGGGCTGAGTGTGGAACTTCAGTATGCATAGATTTTTGCATGTTGGGGATCTTAAACCAATCAACTGCATATACCAAGGGATGCCTGTACATAATAGACGTGGGCATGGGTATTTATCAGTTTAGATTTGAAAACATTACAGCTTGAACTGACATTGTGACAGTAAGTATAGGGAGAAGTTGACAGGTAGAAGATAAGCTTGGGAGATGGCATCAATGTGATATGCTGATGGATTAAAAGAATGAGGGAGTTAAAGCAATAATGAATGAATCAGTGATTTCTGGCTTTAATGACTGGGTAGATTTTTGAGATCCCTGTGAGATGGTCAAGTAGAGAACTTCAAGAATCCATTTGGATTTGAATTTGGAACTTATTAAAGAAATAAAGGATAGAGACGGCTTTGGACATTATTAGCGTATAGGTGGTATCTGAATCAAGGGAGACAGAATAAGGTCACTTAGGAATAGAGAGAACATAAAGTATGGAGAGGGCTCAAGACATAGCCCTGGAGCACTTCAACAGTTAAAGATCAATAAAAAGATAGCAATCAGCAAAAAGACCGATAAAAGATTGTTAAAATAAGAGAAAGACTGGTGGTTTGACATCATTTTTGCCAAGAGAAGATCATTTCTAGAGACGGTGGCTCATTGCATCTAATAAATCCTGAAGAAGTATATGGTCTGTAATAGTGAAATTAATGCATGAAACTCATGTTTGTTTCCTTCTTACCAGGGTAGTTAGCTAGCTCTTTTCCTGTGGGTTCCATTTTATCTATGTGATCATTGATAAATGAAGCAAAAATAGAGCCAACAAAAGACTTCAGAGGAGTTGAGTAATATGGGAAAAGCATTTATTCCTCCATAAAATGCCTTATTTTACCTCACATTTTTATTATGGTAAAAAACATGTAACATAAACTTATCCTAATAACAATGTTTAAGTGTTTGCTATAGTATTGTTGATTATATGTACATTATTGTAGAGTGGATCTCAATAACTTTTTTTTTTTACCTTACATGACTAAAATTGTATACCCATTGAACAGTAACTTCCAGTTTTCTCCTTCCCACTACGAGCCCCTGGAAACTACCATTTTACTTTCTGTTTCTATGAATTTGATTACAAGCATATTTATGAGGTATTTGTTTTTTTGTGTGATTGGCTTATTTCACATAGCACAATGGCCTTAAGGTTCATCCATTTGTAGCATATGACACAATTTCCCTCTAAACAAACTGCTTTATAACAGAACATAAATAAGTTTTTAAGCTGAATAATATTCTACTGCATATTTCTCCACATCCTTGCCAACACTTGTTATTTTCTGCTTGCTTGCTTGTTTTTTAACAGTAGCCATTCTAACAGGTGTGAGGTGATATCCCATTGTGGTTTTGTTTCACATTTCCATTATAATTAGTAATTTAGGGCATCATTTTCTATAATTATTGGCCGTTTGTATATCTTTGGAGAAATGTCTACTCAAGTCCTTTGATCATTTTAAAATCAGGTTATTTTTTGTTATTATTGAGTTGTAAGAGTTCTTTATACATTCTGGATATTAATACCTTATCTGATGTATGGTTTGGAAACATTTTCTCCCATTCTGTAGGTTGCCTTTTCACTGTTGATTCTCCCGTATGCTGAGGAAAAGTTTTTAAGTTTGATGTAGTCCCTTTTGTCTACTTTTGCTTTTGCTACCTGTGCTTTTGTTGCCAAATCCAAGTCTTAGTGCACGTTTTTAACCTACTAATGTTTCACTAGATATTTGTTTTTACTATATTGAAAAATGAGAACAATTAAGTGAGAAATTAACATTGTCAGTGTACATTTCATCTCTGTTGAACAATAACAATGAGATTCATTTTAGTGTTTGTGTGCAGTGCAGGGTTTCAGAATTCCCCAGCCATTAATTCGTGCTTATCTGGCCTTGTCTAGCACACAGTATGACCCACTTAATTAATGGCTACTCTATGATGATTCAAAAAACATTTGTTTTACAATTCAGTAAGTATAGTGATCAACAGACTTTTTCTTCTGAGAACAAAACATAAATAATTTATTAAAATTGAAGCCATGAAAACTGAATATTAAAAAGAATGAAGCAAAATTAATATTACTTGCAGATGATAGAATTTGTCTTCTGCAAACTCAAATAATAAAGTGAAAAACTACTAAAAGTAACAAAAATGTTCAGTGATGTGACTGTCTCCATAACATACAGAAATCAGTAGTTTTTCCATAGATAAGAGATAATGGGCTTAAAATATAACTAAAGAAAGCTTTCAATTTTCAATAGTCACAAAATGTGAAACACATAGACATACATGTAATAAGGAATTCATCAGTATTATATGAAGAAAGCTATAAAACTCAGCTAACAAACAAATAGAACATGAACAAATAGAGATGTATGTTTTATTTTTGAATAGAGAGGTACAACATAGTCATAGTGCCAATTCTTGCAAATTAAACTATAAATTTTATGCACTAGCATCGAAATTTAAAGAATATGGGAACTTGACAAGATGACAGTAAAATATATGTAAGAAAATAAACATTAGAGATTATCTAGGAAAATTCTGAAAATGGAGAGTGATCAAACATATCAGCCTTACCAGATATTCGGCTTTATACAAATCTGCAGAAATTAAAGCAATACGTTACTGGCTCAAGCATAGACTGACAGATTGTTGTTATTGAAGAGAGTACAGTGACATGATTTCTTACAAAAAGAGAATTATATAAAAATAGAAGCTGAAGTTATCTGAAACTTTTAGAGGCTCAGGGAAGACAAGATTAAAATCTAACTTCTCAGTTGGCTGATAGCCCAAAACTTAACTAAGGCGACACCTATTATTAAATAAACTGGCAGTCTCCTCTAATGTACTCATAGTCCTTCCATTATAATACAACAATTTTTATTTCCTTGGGCTTACATCTATTTTTCACCCTTGTGCTTTATATATTCTTCCATAGTTGCATGACAATGTGGCAACATAAACATGTTGAGAATATTATTGCATGAAAAATTTTGGTTTTGGTTTGTTTTTCTTAATAATGAAAAATTTAACAATTCTATATCATTCTGTAGCTAATATGCCATGTTTTATTTTAAAATTTAATGTTGTATAATTGAGTATTCTTCAGGATTTAATTTTATAAACAACATAGAGCTGTGTACTCCTGCTTTCAGGTATTCTCTTGTAATACATTGTAATATAAATTGTTTTCTGAAAGGATTGCATCAGTGTAGGTTGTGATATATAACTATTATTTTAAACTAGGTTTTCATACTGTATTTAATTTTCTCAGTTCCATGTGAAAATATAACTTCATTTTATTTTAATATATGTTGTACAAATTGATAGTGCTGTTAACATTCTTTCTTTTTATAGTTTTGTTTAAATTATCTTCATATTATTTCCTTGCCCATATACACATTTGTTTATCCATGTATCAGAAATTAACTTAAGTATATCACAACACCCAAGTCTTTTCAAAAACCTGAAAAGCCTTCCCAAGAAGGACAAGTACAAAAAGCCAGACTGCAAGGACTACAATGAATACTTAACTCTTCAATGTTCAGACAAAGACAAACATCCAAAAGCATCAAGATCATTAAGGAAAACATCACCTCACGAAAGGAACTAAAGAAGACACCAGGGACCAATCTTGGAGAAAGGGAGATACATGACTTTGCAGACAGAAAATTTGAAATAGCTCTTCTGAGGAAATTTTAAGAAATGAAAGACAATCCACAGAGAAGGAATTCAGAATTCTGTCAGATAAATGTAACAAAGAGATTGCAACAATTAAAAATAATCAAGCAGAAATTCTGTACTTAATGCAATCGACATTCTGAAGAATGTATCAGAGTCTCTTAATAGCAGAGATGATCATGTGAAAGAAAAAATTAGTGAGTTTGAAGACAGGCTATTTGAAAGGACAAAGTCAGAGGAGACAAAGGAAAAACAGTATAAAACAATGAAGCACACATATGGGATCTAGAAAATAGCATCAAAAGGGCACATCTAAGAGTTATTGTCCTTAAAGAAGAGGTAGAGAAAGAGATGGGGGTAGAAAGTTAATTCAAAAGGATAGTAACAGAGAAAATCCCAAACCTAGGGAAAGATGTCAACATCCATGTACAAGAAGGTAGAATACCAAGCACATTTAACCCAAAGAAGACTACCTCAAGGCCTTTAATAAGCAAACTCTCAAAGGTCAAAAACAAAGAAGGGATCCTAAAAGCAGCAAGATAAAAGAAACAAATAACATACAATGGAGATTCAATATGCCTGGAAATAGACTTTTCAGTAGAAGCCTTACAGGCCAGGAGAGAGTGGCGTGACATATTTAAAGCGCTGAAGGAAAAAGAAATCATTACTCTAGAATAGTATATCCAGCAAAGATAACCTTCACACATGAAGGAGAAATAAAGACTTTTCCAGACAAACAAAAACTGAGAGAATTCATCAACATCAGACTTATTTTATAATAAATGCTAAATGGAGTACTTCAGTCAGAATGAAAATGACATTAATGAGCAATAAGAAATCATCTCAAGGTACAAAACTGACAATAATAAGTACACAAAAGACACAGAATATTTTGACACTGTAACTGTGCTGTGTAAACTACTCTTAAGTAGAAAAATTAAATTATGAACTGATTGAAAATAGTAACTATTATAGTTGTATGAATACAACTTTTCAAGACATAGATGGTACAATAAGATATAAAGAGAAATGACAAAAAGCTAAAAAGCAGAGGGAAAAAATTAAGGTGTAGAGATTTAATTTAGTTTTCTTTTTGTTCATTTTTTTTGTGTGTGCAAGCAGTGCTGTTATCAGCTTAAAACAATTAGTTATAAGACAGTATTTGTAAGCCTCATGGTAGCCTCAAATCAAAAATCATATAATGGTTGCACAAAAAATAAAAAGCAACAAATTAAATCATACCACCAAAGACAATCACATTTATTAAGAGGAAGACAGGATGGAAGAAAAGATGGAACAGAAGGCCAAAAAACAACCAGAACACAAATTAACAGAATGTCAGGAGTAAGTCCTAACCTATCAATAATAATATTAAATGTCAATGGATTAAAATCTCCAATCAAAAGACCTGGATTGACTGAATAGATGAGAAAAACAAGATGTAATGATCTGCTGCCTTTAAGAAATACACTTCACCTGTAGAGAGACACATAGATTGAAAATAAAGGGATAAAAAAAGATGTTGCATGCCAACGGAAACAAAAAAAGAGCAAGAATAGCTATACTTATAGCAGACAAAATAGATTTCAAAATCATAAGGAGAGAAAAAGACCACTATATAATGATGTAGTGGTAAATTAATAAGAGGACATAAAAACTGTAAATATAAATATACCCAATACTGGAGCACCCAGATATATAAAGCAGATATTATTAGAGAAGAAGGGAGAGGTAGACCCCAATACAATAATAGTTGGAGACTTTAACACCCCACTCTCAGCATTGGACAGATCTTCCAGATAGAAAATCAACAGAGAAACATCAGACTTAATCTGCACTATATGGTACCAATTAGATATTTACAGAACACTTTATCCAATGGCTAGAGAATATAAGTTATTTTTATCAGCACATGGATCATTCTCAAGGATAGACCATATGATAGATCACAAACAAGTCTTAAAACATTTCAAAAAATCAAAATAACATCATGCATTTTCTCTGCTCAAAAAAATAAAACTAGAAATCAAAAACAAGAATAATTCTGGAAACTATATAAACAATGAAAACTAAACAATATGCTCCTGAATTACCAGTGGATAAATAAAGAAATTAGGAAGAAAATTGAAAAATTTCTTGAAACGAATGGTCACAGAAACACAATATAGTGGGATACAATGAATGCAGTTTTAAGAGGGAAGTTTATACGTGTGTACATCAAAAACAAAGAAAGCCTTCAAATAAACAACCTAATGATGCATGTTAAAGAACTAGAAAAGCAAGAGCAAACCAACCTCAAAATTAGTAGAAAAAAATAAACATTAGAGCAGAAATAAATGAATTTGACATGAAGAAAATAATACAAAACATCAACAAAACAAAAAGTTGTTTCCTTGCAAAAGAGAAAACAAAATTCAGAAAACTTTAGCCAGACTAAGAAAAAGAAAAATAAGATCCAAATAAATAAAATCAGAGATGAAAAATAAGACATTATAACTTATATTGCAGAAATTCAAGGGCACATTAGTGGCTACTATGAGCAACTACATGCAAATAAATTGGAAAACCTCAAAGAAACAAATAAATTTTAAGATCCGTAAAATCTGCCAAGATTGAACTATGAAGAAATTCAAAACGTGTACAAAAAAAAAATAAATAAGATCAAAGCTATAAGTCTCCCAGCAAAGAAAAATATGGAACCAGATGGCTTCACTGCTGAATTCTACCAAACATTTAAAGAAGGAATAATACCAATGCTACTCAAACTATTCTGAAAAATAGAAAAGGAGGAAATACTTATATACTCATTCTATGAGGCCAGTAATACCCTGATAACAAAACCAGACAAAGACACACCAAAAAAAGAAAACCATAGGCCAATATCACTGATGAATATTGATGTGGAAATCTTCAAAAAAACATACTAGCAAACAAAATTCAATAATATCCTAAAAAGATCATTCATCATGAGCAAGTGGTATTTAACCTTAGGATGCATGGATTGTTCAATATATTAAAATCAATTAATGTGATAAATTATGTCAACAGAATGAAGAGCAAAATTCATATGATCATTTGAATTGATGCTGTAAAAGCATTTGATAAAACTCAATATTCCCTCATGATAAAACCTCAAAAAGCTGGGTATAGAAGAAACATACCTCCACATAATAAAAGCCATATATGACAGACCCATAATTAATTAATTAATGTCATACAGAACGGGGAAATATTTTAAATCTTTCTTGTAAGGTCAGGAACACAAGGATACCTCCTTTTACCACCATTATTCAACACAGTATTGAAATTCCAAGGTAGAGAAACCAGACAAGAGAAAAAAATAAAGGGCACCATCCAAATTGGAAAGGAATAACTTAAATTATCTTTGCAGATGATACGATCGTATATTTGGAAAAACTTAAAGACTCCACCAAAAAACGATTCAAACTTATAAACAAACTCAGTAAAGTTGCAGGACACAAACCAACACACAAAAATTAGTAGCTATATCCTACCAGGAAATAATCTGAAACAATTAGTTCTATATCCTACCAGGAAACAATCTGAAAGAGAAATGAATAAAGTTACCCCATTTACAATAGCAACAAATAAAATTAAATACCTAGGAATTAACTTACCCAAAGAAGTGAAAGATCCCTACAATAAACACTATAAAACATTGATGAAAGAACTTAAGAAGACAGAAAAAAAAAAAAGGAAAGATAGTCCATGTTCATGGATTGGAAGTATCAATATTGCTGAAATGTCCATAGTACCCAAAGCAATCTACAGATTCAGTACATAATACCAATAACATACTTCACAGAAATAGAAAAATTAATCCTAATATATTTATGGAATAATGAAAGACCCAGAATAGCCAAAGCTATCCTAAGCAAAAAGAACAAAACTGGAAGAATCACATTACCTGACTTCAACTTATACTACAGAGCTATAGTAACCAAAGTAGCATGGTATTGGCATAAAAACAGACACATAAATCAGAGGAACAGACTAGAGGTCCCAAAGATAAATTCATACGTCTACAGTGAACTCATTTTTGACAAAGGTACCAAGAACATACATTGTGAAAAGGGCAGTCCCTTCAATTAATTGTGCTGAGAAAACTGGATATCCATATGCAGAAGAATGAAACTCTACCCTTATCTGTCATCATATATAAAAATCAAATAAAAATAGATTAAAGACTTAAACCTAAAACCTCAAACTGTGAAACTACTGCAAATAAACTTTGGGGAAACTCTCCAAGACCTTAGTCTCAATAAAGATTTTTTGAGTAGTAGCTCACAATCATAGGGAACCAAAGCAAAAGTGGACAAATAGGATCACACAAAGTTAAATGCTGCTGCCTAGCAAGGAAACAGTAAATAAAGCAAAGAGATAATTCGCAGACTGGGAGACAGTATTTGCAAACTGACCATCTGACAAGGGATTAATAATCAGAATATGTAAGAAGCTCAAACCACTCTATAGAATATGTAAGGAGCTCAAACCACTCTATAAATCAATAAAAATTTGGCAAAACACCTGAATAGATATTTCTCAAAAGAAGACATACACATGGCAAACGGGCATATGAAAAAGTGTTCAACATCATTAGTCATCAGAGAAATGCAAATCAAAACTACAATGAGGTACCATCTCAAGCATTTAAAATTGCTTTTATCCCAAAGTCAGGCAATAACAAATGCTGGGAAGAATATAGAGAAAAGGAAACCCTCGTACGCTGTTGGTGGGACTGTAAATTAGCATCACCACCATGGAGAATACTCTAGTGGTTCCTCAAAAAGCAACAAATACAGCTACCATATGATCCAGAAATCCCATTGCTAGGTATACATCAAAAGAAAGGGAATCAGTGTGTTGAAAAGATATCTGCACTCCCATGTTTGTGGCAGCACTTTCTACAATAGATAAGGTTTGGAAACAACCTAAGTGTCCATCAACAGATGAAGATGAATGGATAAAGAAAATGTGGTACATACAGGCCAGGGATTACTTTTCAGCCATAAAAAGGAATGAGATTCTGTCATTTGCAACAACATAGGTGGAACTGGAGGTCATTAGGTTAAGTTGATGAAATAAACCAGGCACAGAAAGTCAAACATCGCTACAAATTAAAGCAAATGAACTCATGGAAATAGAGAGTAGAAGAATGGTTACCAGAGGCTGGGAAGTGTAGTGGAGGATGGTGGGGGGAAGTGGGGATGATTAATTGGTGCAAAACATAGTTAGAAAGAATGAATAAGACCTAGTATTTGCTAACACAACAGGATGACTATAGTCAAAAATCATTTAATTGTACATTTAAAAATACCTAAAGGAGTATAAATGAATTGTTTGGAACACAAATAAATACTTGAGGTGATAGATACTCCATTTACTGTGATGTGATTTTTATGCATCGTATGTCTGTATTGAATTATCTCATGTAACCCATAAATATATATGCCTACTATGTACCCACAAAAGTTAAAAATACATAAATAAATAAATACAAATATTCATTATTAAACCAAAAACTATACCTCTTATGTCTAATAAAATAACTTCTTTAGCCAGAGTTACTTAAAATTAATTTTATTTTTTAACTTAAATAACTTTCTATACAATAATAGTAATAATGAAAAATAAAGATTTCAGGTAATTATACAAAGACAAACACATTTTTTGATCAAATGTAAAAACAAAGCTAAAAATACCTTTCTATCATGGGAATTTAAGAGGCCAAGTAGAAAGAAGATACAGAGTAGTTTATATAAAAGATCCTTGAAATCTAGCTGTAATGGTTTATCCTTACCATTAAGAAACATCTAGGAAAGAGCAGCAAGAGAGTTGGCTGTTTTCTAGAAAAAAGATGAATTACCAACACTGATACGAGAATAAATACAATAGAAAACCATGTTAGACCTTTAATTACAAAATTAGTGAGAATTCAAAAATTTATCCACAGAAATGTACCAGCTTATTTTTAGTGAGCACTCTGAGGACAGACAAACCCTATCTTGCACAAATTATTCAAGAGTAGAGAAAGTGAAGAGCTTATTGGCACATTTCATTAAGGTAATTCAACTTCTACATAAAATCAGAGAAAGATAAGACAGAAAACTCATCAGTAAATTTTACTAACCAAACATATTTGCGAAACTGACATGGATAATAACACACAATAAGATATAATTTACATAAATTGTGGAAATAATACGAATTCTTGTTTTCATGCATAAAAAGGTATATAATATATAGACTAAAAAAAAATAGATAAAAGTTGCAATCAAGGACTGCTTGATGCCAGGAATTCCAAACCAGTCTGGACAACATTATGAAACCCCATCTCTACAGAAAAGTTAAAAAATATGAGCTGGGCATAATGGTTGCTCCTGTAGTCCTAGCTACTTGGGAGGATGAAGTGGGAGGATCGCTTGAGCCCAGGAGTTTGAGGCTGCAGTAAGCTATGATCATGCCAGTGCACTCCAGCTTGGGTATCAGAGCAAGACTCCATCCAAAAAATAAATGAATAAATAAATAAATAAATAAATAAATAAATAAGAAGAAGGCACACGCTAAGTTCAGGAGAGTGGTTAAGCTTGGATAAAGATGGAACTAAACTGGGTTTTGTCTATACATTTATTTTTAATAAATAAAAATGCAAAGCAATAATTTCAAATGTTAAAATTTGTTCAGTGTAAGTTGGGTTACATGTATGTTTACTGTATTATTTTTTGAGTGTGTCTGCAAGTTTGAAAATTTTTATGAGAATTATGAACACAGAGGGATATATATTTTTGGTCTCTATGACAGAAGTGATTTCAGATGATAACCTAACTGCGATGGGTTCAGGGGAAGTTAGAGGAAGATAAATTGGAGGAAGCAAATATAAATAATATCTTCAAGGAGTTTAACTGTAAGAGGATGGGAGAAGAACAATGTAGGAATAGCTGGAGGAGGATGTAGGGTAACAGGGAAGATGTTGTAAACAAGACAGATATTATAACTTTTTTTTTTTTTTTTTTGAGACAGAGTCTTACTCTGTTGCCCAGGCTGGAGTGCAGTGGCGCAATCTCGGCTCACTGCAAGCTCCACCTCCCGGATTCATGCCATTCTCCTGCCTCAGCCTCCCGAGTAGCTGGGACTACAGGCGCCCGCCACCACGCCCGGCTAATTTTTTTTTGTATTTTTAGTAGAGACAGGGTTTCACCGTGATCTGGATCTCCTGACCTAATGATCCGCTGCCTTGGCCTCCCAAAGTGCTGGGATTACAGGTGTGAGCCACCGCACCCAGCCTTATTATAACATGTTTTATGCTGACAGAAAAGATGTAGTAATGAGGAAAATAGATTATTTAAGAGAGAGAGAGGGAAGAATTGCCAGATGTCCTCAAATAAGTGAAGGTGAAGTTTACTACAGTAAATAAGTTAAACTATTGTAATGGGAGAGAAGACAGAGTATATGGTCCCAGCTGCAGATAACTAGATAAATAATTATAATGGGGGGTTTGTGGAAGTTAACTTTTGATTGCTTCTTTTTTTGTTAGCAATGTAGGAAGATACAGAATAAAGTGGAAGAGAGAAAGGTGATCTTCCTTTTAGACAACCTTAAAGGATCACTTGAGAATTGGTGTTATAAATTTAAAGTGACATAAGTTGGCATGGTTAGGTGTTTTTCACCCCCTACATCCAGCTGCATGAGTGTAGAAAGGGAGTAGTGTTAACGAAACAGGGTTTTTGTTTTTGTTTTTGTTTTTCCTCACTGGATACAGGGAGGGAGGGTGGAACAAAGAGATTGAAAGTATATGCCAGTGAGTCACTATAAAGATAGAATTTAAGCTGAGTAATGAGGGAAATAAAAATGTGAGTGGAGTGAAAGAGAAGAAAAAGGTGGAAGATCAATGAATTGAAGGTCTCAGGGAACACTAAAGATGCTTGGAGATTGGGGGTAGAGGGAGTGAGCTGGAAAAAGAAGAGCAGTTATTCAAAGATGAGACTTTTGAAATGGAGATTATACAAAAAAAATTCAGGTCATTGGTAATGACAATGTCTAGAAATGATTTTAGGAATGATGGTTGAAGTGAGGTGGAAGATAAGACCTTTTAGAGGAGAAGAGTAGGTTGAGAAACTATTAGTGTAGGGTATTGAAAATATCACCCATGAAGAAATTCAAAAATCATCCAAAATTATGAAAGGAGTTGTGGTGGAATGTGTGACAGGGAGCCACAAGATTAAAACTCTGAGGAATGAGGAGAAATGACTCAGAAGTAGTTGACACAATAGGGAGGGGTAATGAATGGCAGAGTCTAAAGGTGGAATTCAGTGCTGGGATCTATTAGGAAGCAGAAGGGAAAAATGGTATTCTACACCTGCAGGCTTAGTGGGATGAGACATGTAAGAGAGGGAAACAACCATAACATGAGAGTCCTGTAGGGGAAGCAGTGTCCTCAGAGAACAGCCAGGTTACAGTTCGAACAAAAAGGAGAAGGAAGCTTTCAGAGAAAAGGTCAAGGGTATAGGATATGTTATGGATAACTGACTATGAGTTCCACAGGGGAAGGGAATAATTTCAGGATTTGAGCTGAGGTGAGAGGTAAGGGCAGAAAAAGATGTATAGAGCCATTTGGGGAATCAAGTTTAGGTGACAAAAACTGTGTATTTGTCAGTTTATATAAATATATATAAAGGGGAGTTTATTAAGTATTAACTCACATGATCACAAGGTCCCACAATAGGCTGTCTGCAGGCTAAGGAGCAAGGAGAGCCAGTCTGAGTCCCAAAACTGAAGGATTTGGAGTCCGATGCTTGAAGGCAGGAAGCATCTGGCACGGGGGAAAGATGTAGGCTGGGAGGCTAGGTCAGTCTCTTTTCACATTTCTCTGCCTGCTTATATGCTAGCCTCTCTGGCAGCTGATTAGATTGTACCCACCCAGATTAAGGGTGGGTCTGCCTTTCCTAGCCCACTGACTCAAATGTTAATCTTTGGCAACACCCGCACAGACACACCCAGGAGCAATACTTTGTATCCTTCAATGCAATCAAGTTGACACTCAGTATTAACCATCACAAACTGTCTGCTGCCATAGGCCTTATGTAAAAATTTTGAGTTATGAAAATAAGCTCCCTGTACAGATAGGACAAAAAGTCAAATAAATCTCTTTACCTTTTGAAGAATCATGGCTCTAGTGATAGTATCAGTTATTATTAACACTGATGCAATGTCAAGGGACAGAGTTCTCAAAATTCTCATAAAGATTGCAATTTTCTAAAAAGCAATAAAATAGGCAGGCAAAAATGATAGTACTATAAACTGAATATAGGTTACTAGAAAAATTTTGTAAAGGGAAGATTTGAGTTGAGACAGATCTAGATTCAGCTGCCAGCTTCACCACTTAAAGGCTGTGTGACCTGGTCCAAGACATTTAACCTCTATGAACTCCAGCTTTCTTAGATGTAAAATAAACATAATAACTACCTTTGAATATTTAACCACTATAATGTATATAAAATACAAAACACAGTTTTTGACATAGGTCCTTGGTAAGTCTGAGCTACAATTGTTGCTATAGGGCTTTTAGAATAAAATTAGATACCGGATAAAAAAGTTGGGTTTGAAGACTTATCAGGCCCACCTACACACTTAGCAGCTAATTCTTACATAAGTTCTTACAGTCTGGGCTGGGCAGACAGAATCATGACCATCCTGATTGCTGCTGCCCACTACCTCTGTCTTCCTTTCAAGTGGCTCTTTCACAACCAACCCTACATATGTGATGTCCCCATACCCCATACCCAACTCTAGCTTCCAGCAGCCTCTATGTGTCTCATTCTTCCCCTCCACCATGCTGACCAAATCCTAGTACTTAATTCTAATTTTTTTTATCCCTTGATGCCTTGAAGAATGTAATTTAACTTGCCTTATTTTTTATAAACCTATAAAACAAGAATAACATTTCTGTAACCACTGCTCACACATGGTGAAAATTAATGAAATAAAATTTAGACTATGCTTCTGAGATAATTCTAAATGTCAGAGAGCATTAAGCTATTTAGAAGAAATACAGTTTTAAAAATGTAAAGATAGTAACATTATAGCATTGCTATGCTGAATTTGTTGTGAAAAATTATTTTCCTTAGATATAAAGCAAAACCTGCATGCATTAATTCACATAATCTTAGGAATAAATCAACAAACCATAGATTATTTGAGTTGGGTGGAAGTTTTGAGATTATCTGGTTCATTTCCGGTATGTTGGCATGAAAACTGGGGCCACAAGAAGGGATGGGACCACCCTAAGTTCATGCAGCAATTTAGTGGAAGTGCCAGGTAAATTCCCACTATGTCACTGTGAAATAAAACAAAAGTTTTCTTCATCAATGTATCCCTAGGCAATTAACTTGACTCAAAATCTCCCAGTGGTAATCTTTTGACGTTAGTTCAGTGTTGCAGAAATATTATTCTATCAATAATTCCAAAATGTAGAAAAAAGAAACAGCCCTGGCATCCCATATCCCACCACCTTCCAAACATCTCAACAGAACAAGAACTACATTTAATAAATGTCAGAGTAGGAAGACAATATGATGTTCATTTTCAGCAATATAATCTAGACCACAGAAAGTTGTGGTTACCCAGCAAAGACAAGGTAAGCTTATTGCAAGAAACCAAAATGTATTGCCTCCTTCTTCCAGTCATGACAATTACGTAATATTTGAAAACACTTATTTCTTCAATGATTTGTGGCTTTGGTTTACCATAAATGTGAAAGAATAATGAGACTATTAATCTTCATTACCCTAATAGTCCTCAAAATCTTATTAGTTTAATGAAGATAGAAACTCTTCCAGCTTCCTCACGTGGTTATGGTCTTTGCCGACCTGAGAAGCAATATCAGCCCTTTCCACAGTGGTACTCTCTTACTTCTCTTAAATAGAGGAGGTTTTCTGAAGGAAGGAAGTAATGGCTTGAAATTGAGACTGATGCCCACTGGAGATTTTACACTCTAGCCTGAAAGTTGCAGCAAAAATATATCTGTGAAGACGTTCAAAAAACAAGCAAGATATCTAGTATGTATGCCCCAAAGAAAACACTTATTTTGGAAGAAACTTTTCGGTAAATGTTTAAAATATATTGAGAAACCCAATTGATGAGATTCATTAGATTCAAATCAGATTACTTTGATAAATCATATTACCATATCATGGAAGAAATAGTTTATTCATTTCCTAGTTCATAATTGCCATAAGGAAAATAAATCTGCTAGATGAATTAACATAGACGGTATTGGACAAAACTGATAATCTTATAGAAACTATATGGAAACACACAGGGTTGTTAATTCCTTGGCCTCAGAAGCCTTCATTGACCATTCATTGTGATTTAACAGAGACTCATAATACTAAATACATTTCTCAGAAAGGTGACAAGTTACTGTTACAACACATATCAGGTATATACAAATATATAGGTGAGTTCACCTCCAAACGTAAACTAAATAAAAATTGGATCACCCAGTGGGGAAAAAGAGAAGTCAGCCCCCAGCCTCAATCATAAATATCATTGGGAAACATATTTCAAATCTCATGGAAACACCAAGCTCTGCTCCCCATCCTTCCTTCTGCTGTTACCAATTTTGGCTGTAGAAGACATTTCTTTACCAAAGCCCTTAGATACTGTTGACTTGGCATTTAAGGCTCATAGTAGTCTGCTTTCCATACCCTTAAGAGTAAGTCTCAGCTGTCCTCTGAATAACGAAAGAACGGTGGTTTTTAAGTTTGGTTACACAATAATATTACCTGAAGCACTTTAAAACCCCTAATGAGTGGGCCTCTCCCTAGACAAATTAAATGAAAAGCTAAAGGTAGTACCCCATCTTGGATTTTTTTTAAATTATTTTATTTTTAAGACGGAGTCTTCCTCTGTCATCCAGGCTGGAGTGCTGTGGCGCGATCTTGGCTCACTGCAACCTCCGCCTTCTGGGTTCAAGCAATTCTCCTGCCTCAGCCTCCTGAGTAGCTGGGATTACATGTGCTCGCCACCATGCCTGGCTCATTTGTGTACTTTTAGCAGAGACAGGGTTTCACCATGTTGGCCAGGCTGGTCTGAAACTCCTGACCTCAAGCGATCCTCCCAAAGTTCTGGGATTACAGGCATGAGCTATAGCATCCAGCCTTGCCCGGCTTTTTTAAAGCTCTCCAGGTGATCGTAATTTGTAACGAATGTTGAGAATCCATGTAATAGTGTACCTTGTGCAGGCCTCTGCAGCTTCAGAGCCTTGGAAGAATGTGTCCTGCTTGCCATTACCTGCAACCACACCTGACACAAATTCCTAAACTAAATAAGCCCGTGGATGTCTCTGAAGTGCACGGTTCCTTTTACTATTGTTTCACTTTTTGTGTACATTGCAAATGGATGATAACCACTGAATGGTCACAGAATCTAGACAGAACAGGACATTCACTCAAACAGGTGGAATACACCCAGGGCTAAAGCAGATGGATATGGAAGGAAGCCCAAAACTTTCTCCAAAAGTGACAGCTGAGAGTGGGTTTGGGGATCATCCAGTTTTGGTTAATATTGGAGGAGCCAGAGTAGCCCACAGATGATGCTAAGACTCCTTCATCTCTGGGGAACAAAGCTTATACTAGGATTAGGATGACGCAGCTGAGGCACTCAACTTGGGCACAAAATGTAGGGACCATCAAAACAACTCAGTAATCAAGGAGAATCTTTTTAATGCAATATTTTAAAAATTTTAAATCAATAAAAAAAATCATGATGGACAAAAAATTTAAATAAATCCAGCACTTTCACAATTCACTCACTTGCCTCACCCTAACCTGGACCCTTTGAGATTCTGTCACCCTAGTCCCAGCCCTGGTAAAAACTCATCCAGGCCCCAGAAACACATGTAACTGAGAAGAAGAAACTGCTCTCATTCAAGAGAAAGGTAGTAGGACCCCCTTCTACCCTAATTCATCAAGAGATGGCTAAGAATGGAAGAAATTGTACTCTGTGTTTCTTACCTATAACTGGTGAGAAAAACAACTGTCCCCAACCCCAAAATAAACATGAAACCTCACCATGGTCCTCCCAATATAAATCAAAAGGCTTTGAGATGGGAAGAAAGAATGAGGAGTCCCGGGACAAAAATTCCCCAAGGCCTTTCTCGTTTGCGGAAAAGGAGTGAAAGAACAGGATGGAAAAGATAGAGGGAGGTAGATATTTGCCTGTTGCTTGACTCTTTACAGTTGAACATTTTGATAGCCCCTTTTTCCAGAGCAATCATCTCTAAAATGATTCACTAATGGTTCAATTTCAGGCATCCAGCAGCTTTGGGAGAGAGATAGAGATGGAAAATTTTCAAGGTCTTCCCATGAGGTACTCATGAAAATAATAGAGTTATGAATGAATAAATGAACAAATGGATGAATGGGTGGACACATGCTGTCTCTGTGTTAGAATAAAATCTGTTCTCTATTTTCAAGGTCACACAAAAAGATATGGCGTGTCTACAATAAGAACCCTGGCCTGTCAATTCATTATTGGTTAATTCTCAAAACGTGTCATATAAAATAAAATAGTAACATCAAGAAAAATGTTAAAGAAAGATATATATGGGGAAAGAGGATTTTTGTTTTATATTCTAGTTGGTTGCAAACTTAGTAAGTATTTATTTTAAAATTAAAACTAAATAAGAATAAGAAAAACCTGAGATTCTGACATAAAAAGTAGGAAGTAAACAAAAGTCATTGCCATAAGCATGACAAAATAGTTTTAAAGTATAAAATAAACATTTGAAATTGTAATCAAATAAACATAAAACTAAATAGTAATGACATGCCCTATGTCATCTATTAAATTATGAAGTCTGCAAAACCATAATGATGCTTAATGATGGATAGGTATTATGAAAAGTGTACCAAATCTTGCTGGTGAGACTGTAAATTAGTACAAAATTTATGAATTTATGGAAATAAATATCGATCTTTAGCAGCCTTCAAATATTCTCAAGCATTAGGACATTGAAATTACACTTTGGAGACTACATAATAAGGAAATAATTGGAATTATGTATATACATTAATTAGCGAAGATGCTTCTCCCAGCACTAGTTCATAAATTCAAAATTATGGTGAAAATATAAAAGTTCAAAATTGTATTAAAAAACTGAGAAGAATTTAAACATTTGAGTATAAAGAAATAGGTTAAAATAAACATGGCACATTCATATGATCACTTAAAAGACAGATCTTTAAATTTTATTTGAGAAAATATGGGGAAATGATTATATGATATAAATGGGAATAAAGCAAAATACAGAATTATACATCTGATTTATTCTAAAAGAAAGATTGGAAAATAGTAAATTAAGGTGGAAAAGTTATTATATCTAAATTATATAAATATACATTCCAAAGATTCAACAATGAGCTTATTAAATTTTCAGAGTAAAAATGTAAATGATACATAATTGGATTCTTATAAATAAATGCATTCTGGGATTATGATATCTCTGTCTTTATTCTCTCCATATACCCTCCTGTAACTTTACCCATAAAAATGTCCTTGTGGCTGGGAGCCAGTAGCTCACGCCTGTAATCCCAGCACTTTGGGAGGCTGAGGTGGGTGGATCACGAGGTCAGGCGTTAGAGACCAGCCTGGCCAATGTGGTGAAACTCCGTCTCTACTAAAACTACAAAAATTAGCCAGCGTGGTGGCACATGCCTGTAGTCCCAGCTACTCAGGAGGCTGAGGCAGAAGAATAGCTTGAATCTGGGAGGTGGATGTTGCAGTGAGCTGAGATTGTGCCACTGCACTCCAGCCTGGGCGACAGAGAGAGACTCTGTCTAAAAAAAAAAAAAAAAAGTCCTTGTGAATTGTGATTTACTGCCTCTATGGCAGATAAAATAGCATCTCCCTTATAAAGCCATAATTGAACTACTATCTAAGATAGTCTCCACTTATCTTTATCAAAATTACATTTATAGGACAAAATATCACTTTTTTTAGGAAAAATTGTTTGTAAAAAGTGTCTTCTATTAGGCAGTGACCAAATTCATTCAATAAACATATTTTTTGAGCATCTACTTTATACTTTGTGCTGTTTGGCACTGAGCATTTAATGACAAACAAGCCAAGCAATTCTTGAAGTCATCAATCTTAAAGTCTATTTGAGGTGACAGATAATTTTAAAAACTCACAAAATACACAGATAATAAAAATCAGGTTATTGAGAAAAAAATAACCATGAGTTGCGGGGAAAGAAGAAACCTCCTTTAGTACTTTACACTGCATAACCAGGAAAGGCATTAGTAAATAGATGACTTTTTTTACTGAGACCTAAATGGTAAATGAAAGCCTGCTATACAAAGATTCTAAAAGAAAAAGTTCCAGGCACAATAACAGCTGGTGCAAAGACCCTGAGGCAAGAAAGTTTGCATAGCCTCACACTGTCAAGAAAGTCAGTAAGACCTGAATGGTTAGTGAACTATGGAGGAGATAGTACAAGATGTGGATGGAAACAGGAAATGACGAGATCACACAGAGCTTTGTAGTCCATGTTAGAAATTGAAGTTTTACATTAAAATTAGTGGGAAGTCACAGAAATGTTTTAAATTGGTGAAAAATTTGACACATATAATTTTAATCACTTTGTCTACTGTTGGGGGTGTGGATCGCAGCCGAAGAGAGAGATAAGAAATTGTTTAGGAGACTTGAAGTAACGCAAGTGTGATATCATCATGGCTTAGATGAAGGTGTAGGAGTGGAGATGAGAGACAGTAGATGGATGTAAGATATATTTTGAAGTGAGATCCAGTAGAACTTTTTAATGGCTAAAGATGTTGGAGCCAGGTTGGGGGATGAGGGAAGGGATGGACAACATGACCTCAGCTATTTCCTCAGCAGGTTTTGGTGGTTTACCTGGTGTGACCCAAACCTTCATTCCTGAGTGCTCTGAGAGCTTCTTGGTCTGGGTTCTCTGCACTTTTCCATTCATAGTTACAACGGGGCAAGAGAGTACAAGGAAGTATCCAAGTGGCTCACTTGGGTTTCACATATAACCCCTTTTGGCTCCAATGGAGAAAAGCAGCCCTGCCTCATCCTAATGGTCAGAATCAGTTATACATTCCCATGTGGTGACCCCTCTTCTCATCTGCTTCTCCTTGGACACAGGAGTACAAAGTGCCCTGATGGCAGCCATAAATTGTTGTTACTTGTTTCTCCTGGCAAGAATGTGTCCCCTTTGTGAACAAGACCCTCCAAACTCTAGAGCTTAAAGTTATGAGGATATGAAGCACACAATTTCCCATTGGATCATTGGTAATGGTGGTGTGGGGCCAAGCCTGTTGCCAAACTTTGTTTCCAGACACATATGCTTTCATAAGGGAGACACAGTATCATATAGAGGCTGCTGATTGAATAAATCCACTAAAATACACTGCATTTAAAAGGATGACATCCCATTCATTCAGACTGTTTCTCCTGACCTGGCACTTCAGTAGCATTTTTAGAAAGTAGTTCCAGTGTTCTCTGAGGTCAGCTGTTTCTGGATGGTGTGTTATGTGATATGGTCAGTGGAACCTATGGCCATGAGCCCACTCCTGGACCTCATTTTCTGTGAAGTGGGCAGTCTGGTCAGATGCTGTGCTGTGTGAGATACCCAGTCTATGGATCAGGAATTTTATAAGCTCACAGATGTTAAGTGCTGGCTGAGGCTCTATAAGCAGGAAAGGCAAACTCATGGCTAGATAAGTATCTATCTTTGTGAGAATCAACTTCTGGCCTTTCCAAAATAGAGGGGCCCAATGTGGTCAACCTTGCCACCTCAAGGTCATTTGGTCTCCTTGAATAATGGTGTCATAGGGGGGCTGATTTGGTCTATGTTGCTGATAAGTTGGACATTCAGAGACAACAATAGTTAGGCTTGTGGAAGTTTATGCTGTTGAACACACATACAGTCTGCATCTCCGCTTCCATGGCCATTCCATTCACGTGCCCATTATGATACTTCTGGGGTCGCTAATGAGAAAGGCTGGGAAGGTCAACTGATCAAGTCATTTCATCAACTTAGATTGCAGTACCTATCTGTAGTAAATGCTTTCTGGTGAACATTAAAATATTTTCACACTTTTATTCTCTCCCATATGTCTGTCCACATGCCTATTCCATAGACCTCATTGTCTTCAGTTTTCTAGTGCTTGTCTTTCTAGGCCCCAGATTAGAAGACCAGGCCATTGACCACTGCCCATTAATCTATATATTCTCACCTCAGGCCCCTTCTCCCTCTACACAAAGTAGATAACCAGGGTGCTCGAACTGAAGCTCTTACCATCAAGAAGATTTTTATCTTCATTAAATTACAGGGCCACTCCTGAATGTGGTTACAATGTGGCCACTGTCAATTTTTCCATTTCATTCATGTAGCATGCTGACCCATCTGTAAATTAAGCTCAGAGTTTTTCTTCGTTCAGTCAGTAGTACAGAAGCCCTTATATGTCTATGGGTGCAAACCAGGGAAGGGACACTGGTACAACTCTTTTGGGTAGCAAGCATTCTAGTCTTCCAGCTCATGCAGCTTATTTGTGCTCTCTAATCCTGCTTGGGTTTAATTTAGTCCATTTCCTAATGGCCTGTTGCTAGACATGTCTGACTGTATAATTTGTTGGGTTCAATAGAACTCAGCCCTAGAGCAGTTCTGAATACATGTTCACTTGGTGACACATGGCGAAGTGTTATGCCTCTGCCAGGGTCCAGCAGCACTCCAAGGGCTGTTTCTTAAAACACATGTAATTCTTTGCTATGAATAGCATAGCTTTGTTCCAGAATACCAAGGGGTTATATTGTGAATATCCCACTAAAACATACACTCCAAACTGCATCCTTTCCCAAAACTAATATTTCCAATACAACAGGGTTTAACGAATTATATGGCTCAAATGACAAGAATGATTGCAATGTGGTCTGCACCTGCTTCACTGCCTTTTCCTTCTTGGCCCCACTCAAAGCTGGTAGATTTCCATATTATCAAATATAAGAAGAGGAGAAATTGCTCAGGTGTGGAATTCTAGGCCTCTAGAATCCAAAGATGGCTACCTAGTGCTGCGTTTCTTTCTTTGTAATGTGAGATTCACAATGGATGCAGCAATGTGCCTTTTACTTTGGAGCAAATATCCCAGAACATTCCTGACTACTGGAAACCTCAAAATTTCACAGAAATTGAAGGTCCCTGAAACTTATTAAGGTTAATTTCCCACCCTCTGAAGTACATGTGTCTTAACAAAGCCTTCAGTCTATTTGTCACTTCTTGCCTGTCCTGTCCAACCTACATGATGTTACCAATGCAGGGAATCAATGTGATGTCCAGGTGGTCCAGATCGTTTCAAATTATATTATGACAGAGGGCAGGAAAATGTGAAGTCACAGAAATAAATGAGATTACTTATAGAAAAAGCATAGAGAGGGAGAGAAGAATGTGACCCAAGATAGGGTTGACAGACATTTCAACGAAGATGCAGAAATAATAACAAGTAAACTGAAAAAAGTAACCAGTAAGAATGGGAGAAAACCAAGATACTATGCTGTTAAAGAAGCTCATAGAAAAAGGACAGAGTGATTCCTTGTTTGTCTTGCTCAAAGAGTTCAAATAAAGATAGAAAAGGGTCCTCAAATTATGTAACTTGTGCCATAGACTAAATGTTTGTGTCTCCCCAAAAGTTACATATTGAAACGTAACCCTCAATATGATTTGGAGGTGGGGCCTTTGGGAGGTGACTGGCTCATGAGGGTGGAGAATTCATGAAGGGGATTAGTGCCCTTATAAAAGAGATTCCAGAAAGTTCTTTTGCCCCTTCTGCAATGTGAGGTTACAAGAAGAAGATGACTGTCTATGAACCGGGAAGTGGGTCCTCACCAGACACTAAATCTGCTGGCACCTGGATCTTGGACTTCCCAGCCTCCAGAACTGTGAGAAATTTCTGTTGTTTATATGACACCAAGTCTATGGCATTCCATTATAGAAGCCTGAATTAACTAAGATACTCACTATGACCTTTTTTTTTTTCCTTCACTGTCAAGAAACTTAAGAGCTATGTCTGTGCCCACTTACAACTGTTAGTGGCTATTTACTAAGTTTATAGTCTATGCCAAGCATTGGACAAGGTATATTGATCTGACACAAAATGGGTAATACCTTCTCAAGTTGAAGTCCATCATCAACAATGTATCAGGAAACACATACCATGACAGATAGAAGCATGGGGACTTATCGGAAGAGAAAAAGAAACACCTAACTCAGCCTTAAAAGCAGAAACGGAATAGAGTCAGGGAAGGCTTCCTGTAAGAGGCAGCTCTTGAACTTAGTTGGTCTCTGCTCTAACTTTGCACATTTTCCACTATTTATGTGTGAGTTAGCCTTAAGTCATTTTGGAAATAATCATGGCAGACATTTTACCTAAAACAATTTCTCTAGCACCTTTTGAGTGTTGCAAGCCAGATTATATATGTACTAAGTAAAATACTTTACTGATTTGACACCAGGATATTTGGTGCTAACCTGGATCTTATTTTCATAATCCATTTTCTTCATTAAACTTATTTTAACACAGAATGGTCAGTGTCATAATAATCACTCGCACTATTCCCTTCAGGAGCTTTTAATTTGGCACCACGGTAGTGTGATTCCTCACTGCCCCCACCTCCCCCCTCACCATTTCTTCTAAAGGCAGTTAAAAATAAATAGAAAAGTCATCATTGAATAAAATGCTATTTTTGGAGGAAACATAGAATCCCAAAAGTGTTAACTCTATACAACTAGGAACTATAGAGGTTTCTGCAGATAATGGGCACTCACATATGTGCCCAGATGTCACAGAAAAATGATTTCCTTGTTTAAATAAAGTGCTACCTAACACTTGCCTTCCCCTTTTCCTTCAACATTTAAAAGAAGAAAGGAAGGGAGAAGACAAGGAAGTAAGGAGGAAGACAGGGAAGGAAGTTAAAAGAGGAGGAAGCTATTTTCATCAATTCTTGCTATGTTCTTTCTCCATGTAATGTAGAAGTTATATCTTATGAAACACAAACATTTATCTTATATTTCAAATAAAAATCACAATAAGGATGGTTACTGAGACGAGAAACATGGAATACTACGGGGTGCTTTCCATCCTCCCACCAAAGCCTCTCCTATAGGGATCTCTACTCTTTAAGTATTTGGAGACCGCTGTGATCATCATCCAGTCGTAACATACCCAGCCCACAGATTTCTACATCTGGCCATCATTTCTCAGATATATCCTTAGATCTGAAATCATTGTGGCGATGATCAGTTCTCTAACCTTTGGAGAAATGTAGATTGCAAATTTTGTTCTTCATTAGTCTGTTTCAGATGACTCTCTATTTAGCTCCCACAGCACCCTATAATTACTCTTCCCAAAACATTCGTCTCCCTGAATTATATCTATTTACATTTTGGTGATAATCACCAAACAAATTTTTAACTCTTGGTATTCATCACAAGTTTACCATATCCACGAGGCCAGGTACTCTTTCTTATTCACTTCTTTATCCCTTTTATCTATCACAGTCTGAGTACATAATATTCATTCAATAAGTATTTAGTAAATGAAGAGTAGAAAGAAAGAAGGAATTTGACTGAAGTAGCATTCAACCATTAAGACCTCCTATTCATGTCCCTCTGGAGGTTTATCTGAGTATGCCACCTGTTGTAGGCAGAAATCTAAATAAATGTTCCCAAGATTTCTATCACCTGGTTATTCAATCTACCATTAATCCAGGTACTGCTACAAAGGGACTTTGCAGATATCATTAAGTTTGCTAATCAGGTAACCTTAAAATAGGGAGACTATCCTAGATCCAGGTGGGGTGAATGCAGTCATATGATATAAGAGGAAAAGGAAAGCCAAAGAAAGTCAGAGAGATGTATCAAAAGAAGAAGTAGAAAAGATACAGCAGAAGGAGAAATCAAAGAGATTCCAAATGTGAGAAGGCTTTGGTGCATGATTGATGGTTCTGTGATATAGGGGGCTATGTGTGAGAAGTGAAGAAAGTTATCTATTCCTAGTTGGCTGAGGTTATCATGATAGGCATTGGATTTTGTCATTTTTTTTTTTTTTACTGCATTCGTTGATACAATCTTATGTTTTTTCCTTTTTTTTTTTAAATGTACTTTAAGTTCTGGGATACATGTGCAGAATGTGCAGGTTTGTTACAAAGATAACCTTGTGCCATGGTGGTTCGCTGTACCTATCAATCCGTTATCTAGGTTTTAAGCCCCAGATGCATTAGGTATTTGTCCTAATGCTCTCCCTCCCCTTGTCCCCACCCTCCAACAGGCCCTGGTGTGTGATATTCCCCCTTCTGTGTCCATATGTTCTCACTGTTCAGCTCCCACTTATGAGTGCGGACATGCAGTGTTTGGTTTTCTGTTTCTGTGTTAGTTTACTGAAGATGATGGTTTCCAGCTTCATCCATGTCCCTGCAAAGAACATGAACGCATCCTTTTTTATGGCTGCATAGTATTCCATGGTGTATATGTGCCACATTTTCTTTATCCAGTCTAACATTGATGGGCATTTGGGTTGGTGCCAAGTCTTTGCTATTGTAAATAGTGCTACAATAAACATATGTGTGCATGTGTCTTTATGGTAGAATGATTTATAATCCTTTGGGTATATATCCAATAATGGGATTGCTGGGTCAAATTGTATTTCTGGTTCTAGATCCTTGAGGAGTCGCCACACTGTCTTCCACAATGGTTAAACTAATTTACACTCCCACCAACAGTGTAAAAGCATTCTTATTTCTCCACAGCCTCACCAGCATCTGTTGTTTCCTGACTTTTTAATAATCGCCATTCTAAGTGGTGTGAGATGGTATCTCATTGTTGTTTTGATCTGCAGTTTTTTTCTCCCTAACCTTGTTGATATGGTGGATTACATTAATTTTTCAAATGTTGAATCAGTGTCAAATACTTGGAACAAAACCAATTTGATCATAGTGATTATTCTTTTTATTAATATATGATATTTATATTGCCAGATTTTATGTTCTAAAACTTTGTTGAGAAATTTTGCATCTATGTTAGACATGTTGGCCTACAGTTTTCTTTCTTTTTTCATGCTGTCTTTGTTTGGCTTAGGTATCAGGATAACACTAGTCTCATAAATGTATCTTCCTCATCAATTTTCTGAAAAATATTGTATACATATTGAGTTAATTTTTCCTTCAATATTTGATAAAATTATTTTGTAAACCATCTGGGCCTGGAAACATCCTTTATAGAAGTATTATAATTGCAAATTTAATTTCTTTAGTGATTATAAGATTATTCAGAGTTACTGTTGCATTTTATTTGCATTTCAGTAGTTTGTGGTTTGCAAGGAATTCACCTATTCTTAGTTGACAACTTCTCTGTGTAGAGTTGTTTGTGATATTCTGCTTTTATCTTTTTGAGCTGCATGGTCTGTAGTGATATTGCTTTTTTCCGTTGTTGATATTGGTATTTTGTATCTTCTGTTACTATTGTCAGTGTTTTCCTTAGTTTGTCAATTTTGTTGATATTTTTTAAAAATCAGCTTTTGTTTCACTGACTTTATTGCTTTTTTGTTTTCAATTTTACATATTTTTGTTCTTATTTACTTTCTTCTACTTTCATAGGCTTTATTTTATTTTATTTTTATTTTCCTGGTTTTTTTTTTACATTAGAGAATTGGATTACTGATTTGAGTGTTTCCTTCTTTCTAATGTAAGAATTCAGTGTTATAAATTTTCTCTGTTTTAGCTGCCTGCAAAACAATTTGATGTGCTGTATTACCATTATTATTGAACATTATATATTATTTTGTTTTTTTCTTGAGAACTCCTCTTTGTCTCAGAGATTATTTAGAAATGTGTTATTTATTTATAATCTTTAGTTTTTTTCATATACTTAAGGGGTACAAGTACAGATTTCTTACATACATATATTGTGTAGTGGTGTTGTCTGAGCTTTTGGTATAACTGTTACTCTTCAAGTTGTAGAGTGAACATTGTACCCAATAAGAAATGTTATTGATTTTTCAAGTGTTTAAAGATTTTTCTTTCATCTTTCTGTTATTTATTTCTAGCTTGAGTCCACTGTGGCTAGAGAATACACTCTGTATAACTCTGGGAACTTTACATTTGTTGACGTTTGTTTAATGGCCAAGGAGATTGTCTGTTTTGGAGCATGAGATTTCTACGTCTGCTGTAACAAATTACTACAAGTTTAGTGGCTTAAAACAACAACACAAATGTATTAGAGTTATGTACTTCAGAAATGCATAACTTCCCTCATAGAGCTCACTAAAATCAAGGGGTTGGCAGTTCTGTTTTCCTTTTTGGAGGCTCTAGGAGGAGAATCCCTTTCCTTGCCCTTTCCACCTTCTGTATTCTGCCCACATTCACTGGCTTGTGGCCTTTCTTCCTTAATCATCAAAGTCAGCAACATCAGAAGAATTCCTTGTCAGACTACTATCTCTCTGCCTCTCTTCTCTACTTTTAAGGATCCCTGTGATTAAATTGAGTCCAATTCATAATTCAAGGTAATCTTACCAATTTAAGGTCAGCTAATTAGCAGCTTTAATTCCATCTGCAACCTTAATTCCCCTTTACCATGTAACCTTACATATTCATATGTTCTGGGGATTTGAACATGGATATCTTAGGGAAAGGGCCATTAGACTGTCACACTTAGTGAATGTTCTATGGGCACTTGAAAACAATGTGCGTCCTCCTGTCGTTGGGTGGAATGATGCATGTGTGTGTGTGTGTGTGTGTGTGTGTGTGTGTGTAGACAATTGGATCCTATTGATTAACTATGTTGTTATTCTAGATCCTTGCTGATTTGCTAGTACTGCTGTCAATTGCTAAGAGTGGAGGCTTGAAGTTCCTATATGTATAATTATGAAGTTATGTATTTCTCCTTTCAGCATTATTGGTTTTTTCTTTACATAATGTGAGGCTCTGTTGTTTGGTGTGTACACATCTGGGACAATGATGTCTTTCTGGTGGATTGATATTTTTATAATTATGTATATTTCCTCTTTTTAGTTTTTTTTTGTGCTCAATTTGGCTTTATCATATTAGCTACCCTGTAATTTTTTTTAAAAAAAATTAATATGTACATAATACATATTTTCCATCATTTTGCTTTCAACTTACTTATGCTATGGTATTTGAAAGAGTTACTTGTAGACAACATATTATTTTACATGATGGTTTAGATTGTTTGTAGGGTTTTTTGTGTTTGGTTTTATTCCCCCTTCAAAAATCCTAATTGGTGCATTCAGAGCATTACATTTAAATAATTATTGATATTTCAAGGCTTTCATCTACCATTTTATTATGTGTTTTTCATTGGCTTCCTGTGTTTCTCTTTTCTTCCTTCCTGTGTGCTACTTAACACTTTTAGGATTCTATTTCATTTTCTATTTATAGTGGTTGTTATAGTTATGTGTGTATGTGTTAATATACATATTATCATAGTGTACTGGTATTCATGTTTTACCACTTTGAGTTGAATGTAGACTTTTATTTGTGCCCTTATATCTTCTCTTCTCCACTTTTTAAATATAATAGTCAGATATTTACATACATTGAGCACCATATCATATGGATTATGTTTCTCCTTCAACTATAAAATATGAATTAAAAAACTTATATGAATGAGGATGTGTGGGGGGGGGCGGGTATATGCATATATACATATATATGTCCTACAGGTCCCTGAGGCTCTGTTCATTCTTTTACAGGCTTTTTCTGTTTTATAGAGTTAGTAAATTCTAACAGTCTGTCCTCAAGTTATTTAATTCTATTCTCTATTATTTTCACTCTGCTATTTAACCCATCCAGTGAGATTTTATTCTTCAGTTCTATAATTTACATTCGGTTATTTTTTATAACTTTGTTCCTTTAGTAAGATCTTTCATGTTTTCATTTGTTTCAAAAGGATTTATAATTGCTTTTGAAACATTTTTATATAGTCTGCTTTAAAATCCTTGTAATATAATTCCAACATTTGATTCACTTCAATATTGGCATCTGTTGATTACCACTTCTCATTTATGTTGTGATATTCCTAGCTGTTGATATGATAAATTTCTTTTTTGTATCCTAGCTGTTGTTATATTATGTAATTCTGAATCATGCTTAATATTCCTTATTAGCAAGCAGCTATCTCATTGAGGTGCAATGCAACAGCCTCGTGAGTGTGTGGGTTTAGCTTCCCAGTGGGCCCCACCAACACCTCCAGCAATATCGGGGGAACCAGTCCCCAATATTTCAACATAGGTTCTTTTCCATTTTCCCTAAGTGTCGGCCGGTCTGAGAAATAAAGAGAAAGAGTACAAAAGAAAGAAATTTTATAGCTGGGTCTCTGGGGTGACATCACATGTCAGCAGGTTCTGTGATGCCCCCGAGCCGCAAAACCAGCAAGTTCTTATTAGCGACTTTCAAAGGGGAGGGAGTGTACAAATAAGGTGTGGGTCACAGAGATCACATGCTTCAAAGGCAATAAAATATCACAAGGCAAATGGGGGCAGAGCAAGATCACAAGGCCAGGGTGAAATTAGAATTACTAATGAGGTTCCATGTCCCGCTGTGCATGCATTGTCATTGATCAACATCTCAACAGGAAACAGTGTTCAAGAACAGAGAACTGGTCTGACTAGAATTCACCAGGCTGGAATTTCCTAATCCTAGCAAGCCTGGGGGTGCTGCAGGAAAGCAGGGTGTATTTTATCCCTTGTCGTCAACTGCATAAGACAGACACTCCCAGAGCGGCCATTTTAGAGGCCTCCCCCTGGGAATGCATTCTTTTCCCAGGGCTGTTCCTTGCTGAGAAAAAGAATTCAGTGATATTTCTCCTATTCGCTTTTGCAGGAAGAGAAATATGACTCTGTTCTGCCCAGTCTCGCAGGCAGTCAGACTTTATGGTTATCTCCCTTGTTCCCTGAAAATTGCTGTTATCCTGTTCTTTTCAAGGTGCCCAGATTTCATACTGTTCAAACCCACAAGCTTTACAAACAATCTGTGCAGATAATGCAATCATCACAGGGTCTTGAGGCAACATACATCCTCAGCTTACAAAGATGATGGGACTAAGAGATTAAAGTAAAGACAGTCATAGGAAATTATAAGAGTATTGATTGGGAAAGTGATAGATGTTCATGAAATCTCCACAATTTATGTTCAGAGATTGCAGTAAAGACAGGCATAAGAAATTATAAAAGTATTAATTTGAGGAACTAATAAATGTCCAAGAAATCTTCACAATTTATGTTCTTCTGCCGTGGCTTCAGCTGGTCCCTCCGTTTGGGGTCCCTGACTTCCCAGAACACAGCAAAAGTGAAGTGCTGACTTACATAGCCTCATTACAAGTGGATAGATTGGAAGTTCAGTTCACCCCTTCACCTTTCTGATCCCTTCACAGAGAAAGTAGGCACCAACTCACAATATCTTGTTTCTTCTTCCTGGGTATTAGAGCAGCTTCACAGTGGGCTCACTGACATGAAGTAAGAAGAAGTTGTTGGCCCCACTTTACAATGCTTCCTTCTGCCTCAGTTATGCTAATTGGGGGTAAGCACTCAATTCCATACCTTCTGGCACAAGGTTAGGCAAAAGGAGCTTAGCAATACCACCTTACCCTGCCTCACACCATATTCCTCAGTCTGTTGCTGCCAGTTGTGTGTAAACATTATTTATCACTGGGCCCCACTGACACCAGCAGTGACATATAGTGTCACCTAAACTGTACTCATTCCACTTTGTTCAGTCTTGTTCCAGCCATTTGAGAATGAAGACTCAGCTACCAGCTGGATCCTGCTAACACCTGGTACAATTAGTAGTGAAATGAAGTGGAGTAGCAATTTTCTCTGACTTGAACAGCCTCACTAACTTACCTTACAGAAGGGTGAGAGTTGAGGCTCAGCTTGGTGGGTCTTGCTGATAATCAGAGTACCACCTGATTTCACTGGGTGGGGAATGGAAGATAAGTTCCCTGCTCAGTCCCAACTACACTAAGTTGGTTGAGGGAATAAGACTATTATCTACTTCTGCTAAGCATGGAATGGAAGATCAGCTTTCCACTTGGTTCCACCAACAGAATTTCCCTAGGTAACCAGAGAATTCTGCCTGTTTCTATGGGGTTCGATGTTGGAGACTGGGGTTTTTGTATGGAATATCAGCTCCCTGTTCAAGCCAGCTGAAACTTCTGGAGGTGGAGATGGTTGTTATATGCATTTCTGCCACATTTGCTGGTGTTTGGCTGGAGTAAGATGGGTATTGTCAAAAGTTTTTCTGATCTTAGGCCTCTCTTTTTTCAATCCTGTGGCTAGGGGAACAAGCCTTTCAAGAGGATTATCTGTGCCTCTTGATAGTCTAGGTTTAATTCTTTTCAAGAACTCTATTTGGGATATATGAAAAGCAGTAAGGAAGCCCAAGAAACACACAATCATGTTATTATTCAAATCCCAGTGTCTCTTATGCAGTCTGCCTTCTTTTCTTCCACCTTTCAAAGACTTCCTATGTTTTGTTGTTCTTGTTGTTGTAGCATTTTTAGTTGTAAGCAGGGGACCTGAGAGGAATGGAGTTACTCCATCTTGACTAAAACCAAAAACAAGTAAAAATCTCCATCAATATTTTTAACCTGCAATTGAGTAATAAAAAGTCAAATAATTTTTTCTCATGCTATTTCTATTATGTTTAATCTTGTTAGAGTTTCTTTTTCACCTTGCCATATTTATACGTCAATTTGCAAATGGCCTAATTTCTGTATTGTGTGCCTACAACAGTATATTACCCTGCAGCCTTTGAGACTACTTTCCATGAGCATGGACAAAATTTAACTGTGACTCCCAAACAATAGTAAGCCAGATGAGACTTGGCCATTGTATGATGGGAGCTAAAAAGCAGAATTCAAGCCCCCCTCAGCCTTCTTAGCAAGGAGTGTTTTTTCAAGCCTTTAGTAATCACAGAGTGGAACTAGTGCAGTTTCCCACTGATAGAACTTTGCCTGATGAATTCCAGCTCAATATCCGTTTAAATTGTGTCTCCTCTCCCTCCTCTTCCTTTCTTTTTTCCTCTACCTCCTTCTCCTTCCTTTCTTCTTTTCTTCATTATTATCAGTATCATTATTATTACTATTGTTACTACAGGAATTAATTCTAAATAGTTACAATGGCAAGTGAACTGTCTCCAGAATATAAGGCAGCATTTCCCCAAGCCTTTCCCTACTTCAGATCTTTCCCAGTTGTACCATGCCTTATAAGACACCAGCAGCAGCATCCCAAGGCTACTTTTAGAGCATTTTGACAGCACAAGCAAACCTATTTGTTACCAGGAAGCTGAACTAACGTTTCTTTAATCTCCTTTTACGTTGTGTCTCTGGACGTTCTGAAGCCAGAACCTAGCAAACTTAACTATGATTCCTCAGTTCAGTCCTAGTGGTAGATCATTGTCTTACACATTTCCTTGCTGGGCTTCTCAAGATTTACCTCTTCTTTAACTTTCAGGTGAAACAAAGGCCTTGGTAAGTGATGAGGCTTTGTAAGGTTGGGGTATTTAATAACTTCCCTGTAAAACAACAGGTAGTGGAAAGTGCTACATTTAATGGATGTCTGAGGAAAGGCTTTGGTTTGAATGATGGTGTCCCATCCAGAATTCATGTAGAAACTTAATCCCTAATGCAACAGTATTAAGAGATGTGACCCCTGGAATGTGATTGAGTCATGAAAGCCATACCCTCAAGAATGAGATTAGCATCTTTCTAAAAGAGCTTGAGTTTGAAAGGAGCACTCTCCTGCCCTTCCATCCCTTTTGCAATGTGAGAACACACTGACATGTGAGGAACTCCCCTCTGGAGGATGCAGCAACACACCACCATCTTGGAAGCAGAGGGCAACCCTCATTGGACACCAATGCCTACCTTGATCCTGGAAGTTCCATCCTCCATAACTGCAAGAAATAAATTTCTGTTTACAAATTACCTCATTTCAGATATTTTGTTGTAGCAGAACAAGTTGACTAAAACAGGAAGGTAACAAGAAACCAAGAATGTAGATAAAAATAAGAGTAATTCAATTGATTGCCTAGCTTTGGCAATACATGTTTACTTTAATACATGTTTTTACATGCTTCTTCAAAAGCTTTCAAAACAGTGAAACATTTTATTCGACCACTATTTAGTGCAAATTATAAGTCAGAAAGCAGAATTCCTGAATCTCTTACATCAGCAATTTTCAAAACATTTGCTTTTGAAACTTCTTTAAACTCTTAATATTCTGGATTTCCAAAAGCTTTCTCTCATATAACTCATGTTTATTAATATATACTACATTGGAAATTAATGTTGAGAATCTTTAAAATGTTTATCAATGCATTTTTAAAACTAATAATAAACCTGTATATTGATAAATCATGAATTTTATAAAAATAAATGTTTTATAAGACAAAAATTGAGAAGAATATACTTGTTTCACCTGTTTGCCAGTATTTTTAATATCTGGGTCTATAGAAGAGAGCTGAATACTCATATTTCTACATTCTTTTTTTGTGATGTGAGATATTGTAGAGAGTTCTTCTATATACTTGTAAGAGAAACAGAGTTTAAAAGGTAACTGTTTTAGTATTATGAAAATTGTTATGACCATGTGGACATACGAAAGAGTTTTATGAACTTCCCAAGCTCCCAAGACCACAATTTTAGAAATACTGTTTAACTTCCATTCTGGATAGGAACCATTTTGTTGATACCATAGTATACTATGGTCTCTGTGAGGGCCCTGATAGAAATGATAAAAGTTATTATTCCCCAAATGGAATATATAACTAGTGTGCAGAGAGTATTCACTGATTGACCTCTCAAGATCTGCTCTCTACCATTCTTCACCCTGTTCTTAGCTCCAGAAGTTGACCTATATGGATGGCACCAATTAGATTTCCCTGCATTCTGCAAAAGATTAAGAGTGGATGTAGAATGAGGTTTGGGGATTCATTCCCTAGGTTCCCTCTTTGATGGGCTTTGTATTGATAGTGGCTGCCCCTCTACGAAAGGCCACAGACCTCTCTTAGAAACCTAGTTGCTGCTATCTGTGCTTTGTAATAATTACTCTCTCCACTTGCCCTTCAGGCCTAGGGGTAGTAATGGCTGCCTGCTGTTTCAAGCCTTATGACATTTTATTACATCAAGTTGGTTGCTGTTAATTCTCTTCATTTCCTTGTTTCAGTGTATTATCTGTTTTTTTTCCGTAACCTGACTAACATATCTAATAAGTAAGATGTGAAATAACAAATGGCTTACTTGAATTATTTGGACCTGTATTAAATATTCTTAGAATAAAGAAAAAAGCAGTTTTTCTTTGTTTTTCAGTATGGGTTTTAACAAAAATACTAGTAATATAATAATTACAATTTATCACTGTTTAGTATGTGTTTGTATATTTATTTCACGTTTACCATCACATTATTATATTAACTTACTCATTCAATGACTATTTGAGTGCCTACAATGTGCCAGCAATTCAGCAAATTCTATGGGAGTTATAGAGGTGACTCAGTCATTCAACCCTGTTGTAATGAATTCTATGGTATGTCTCCTAGAGTTTCAGCCCAACTTTAGGACTGAAAAAACCTCATTGCTCCAGCTGCTATTATAGTATTGGCAGCTACTATTTATTGGCCAAGACACTCTGAAAACTCTTCTTATCTGAAAAGAGCTAGGTTGCCCAAGATCATCCCATCTTTGCAGAAATAGCCTACACCTAAAGAGTGATTGTTTGCTGGAGTATAAATGTGTGGATATCTTTCCTAAAATTTAGACAACTCTGAGTGATCATCCCAGTTCAAGTGCTCCCTTCATGATGAGCTGAAGCTTTTGCTGCACCTGTATGGCAATTAAACTCTTCCCTCCAATTATCTCTACTGTTGTCACTTCCTCACAGGTGTGAAAACACTCCCTAATAAACTTATTGCATACAGTTCTCCACCTTAGAGTCTGCTTTCTAGGAAAAACAACCTGCAATTTCTGCCTTTAAGAAGCTTAGAACTTAGGTAGAAAAACTGTATTGGGGGCTTATTTCTATGAAGAAAATGAGCAGTGATATTATGAAAAGCATGCAAACACATGGTATGTAATGTCTCAGAATGCTACCATAATTCATTTCAACATGTATGTAGGAAGTCCTCATATTTACCATATAATTTTCAGACAACCTGATGTATGAATATATATATATATATATATATATATATATATATATATATATATATATATATATATAATACAGTATCTTCAAGAGTTTACAGTAATTGAAATAGGCCATTTTGGGGGCAGGGCAACAAGGTGGCTATACTATGTTCTACTTATTTAGGGTTACAGCATGTATGTTGTACCCTAATATCTTTTCTGTCAATATTCCAGGGGTTCTATGACTTCTACCTGTAGAGTGGCTTCCTTCTATGGATTATTTTATTAAGCATATCTCACCAATTTTGTTTCCCAGGCCCCAACCACTGTTAAGTGACAGCTTTGGAGACAATATGCAATAAACAACCATGAGGAAAAGACCTACATCAGTGAAGAGAAAGGCTGACTTATAACTGTTCCACACATACAAAACACTAGTAGAAATGGCTGAGCCTTCAATTACAAGTAATATTAACATTGGCAAGAAGTGGTTATTAGAAGGAATTATAGATAAAAAAAAACAAAGCAGTGTATAAAGCCTGAAGCATTATGAAATAAGACTTCATAAATTTTGGAATGGTGTGAAAAGCCACTTAAATTTTGAGATTTACCAAATAAAGATACATTAATCAATGCAAATGTTATAGTTCTGAAGACTGGGTTCAGTCCTTAGGTGACCATTTTCTACAAGTCAGTGAGGCTTCCAAAATGTGGCTCACAGGGAACTTGAGTTCTAAGGAGTCCTCTCACTGGCCACTCCTGAAATATTAATATTTATAAAGATACCCCCATCTAGGATTAAAATAATGTACACATGGGGTTGACAGTGTTTCATAGCAAAAACATATACAATAACTTGATAAAAATAAGATAAATTATTGAAAATTTATAACAATTGAAAATTTCTTATGCAATTTACCTAAAGTTTAAATATTTTTAAAAGCATGAAGGCTATAGATGTCAAGTGATTTTTCCACTGTTGCCTAAAGATATATTCTTGAGAGCTGCAACACATTATTTGTTTCAAAAGTCTGAGGCACCAGACGAGATTGATATCAAACTGAATAACTGATTAAGAAAATTTGCACATAGCCATTAGCAGTAACTCTAATGAGGATGCTTACAGAGACCTTCAAACTTTGCTCCTAATTTTAACTTTGAACTTCAACTCTTAATGATGCAAATTTCATATGATTATCAGGAGATTCAGACACCCCATTAAAAAAATCTTCGGAAGATTCACACAATTGAGAAGATATCCAGTATTTCCTTCTCTGTATGAAATGTACATGGATTTAAAATGTTTGGTAGCATGTTTTCAACAAAAATTAATCCAGATCACTTTTCTAAAAATACATCTTGAATCTCCAAACTTTAATATGTAAATTTTTCCCATAAAAGGAACTCAAGAAATATATATTTATAGCTTTATGATTATTTGTCCATATACATATATGTCTGCTTTCTCCACAAAATATTCCTGAGAGGTACAGAAATAATTATAACCAGTCCTCATTTTGAGATGAGGGAATTAAGCCCCAAAGAGTTTGAATGATTACCTTAAAGGCATACGAATAACTCACTGTTAGAACCAGCATTGCATGTAGGTTATTCAATCCACATTCAATGCTCTTATGTACAATAAGGATGTAGTATATGATTCAAAATAGTTTGAAACACTTTACAACAGAAGCTACATATAAACAAAAATCATTATTCTGGAAATAAATACCAGTAATATAATAAATATGCATGTAGTCATAAGCTAATCTATATCCTGTGGACAAGCATTTACTATAGATCTTTTTTTTTTTTTTTTTTTTTTTTTTTTTTGAGACCAGGTCTCACTCTGTCACCCATGCTGGAGTGCAGTGGTACAATCTTGGCTCATGCAACCTCTGCCTCCTGGGCTCAAGTGATCCTCCCATCCAGCCTCCCAAGTAGCTGGGACCACAGGTGTATCCCACTACAGCCAGCTCATTTGTAGGTCTAAATTTCATTGTAACAAAGTCAAAAGGCGTTACATAATTTGTATCATCTGAGAAATAGAAAACAATTCAGGTAATGTGATATCATGTTACACCATGTTAAAAAGTCTTCCAGTGGCTCTTTTTATTGCATTTATAGGTACTTCAAATTTCACATCCTAGCCTACAAGGCCCAACATAATCTGGCTTCCATAATTTTTCTATCTTCACCAACTATTACTTTCCCTGTTGTGAACTACACTCTGTTCTTTCTGTTTCTTCCTTCAACATGCCAATCTCATTCCTACCTTCAGGCCTTTGGACCCACTGTTGAATCCATTAGTAATACTATTCACCCATTTCTTAACATGACTAGCTCCTTTTCATTATGCAGACCTCAGGTCAAAAGTCCCAGCTTCTCATTATTCGGTTCTCCTAGAAATCATACCTGATCATCTTATCTAAATTAGTCATTTTCCCAGATAACCCCTGTTTAATTACTACAGTCTACTTTCTTTATAGTACTTAGCCCTTTGTGAAATTTTCCTGATTATCCACATTTTTGTTTACTTCTGTACTTAGCCCTTTGTGAAATTTTCCTGATTATCCACATACTGGTTTACTTCTGTTCTTTCCTTCTAACTAGAATGAAAATTTCATAAGAGCCAGAAACTCACATACCTTTACTTACCCACTATTACGTCTTGAGCACCAAAGAAGTGTCAATTGGACACTCAAGTTGTAAATGAATAAATGTAAAGTCATTGACAGAGACATCTTTTTCTTTAAACTTAATATTAAAACCATTTAAACTCGTGAATTATTTAAAAACGTTTAAAACATGATGCATTATGGCTTTAGCATCTCCTTTCTAGAATATGCAGCATTAGCCAGTGAGATGGGGGTAGAATGAAGAGAATAAAGCAAACATAATGGAAGAACAACAAAAGACTCCTCTGAGGAAGATCAACATGCAATGTACACAGAGGAAAAAAAAACTCAGTAAGGTTAGTGTTACAAATCAAAGTAAAAGGAAAATTCTTAAAAGCATGTCATGAATACTGTAAATGGCTGAAAAGTATTCATTGAATTTTTAAATAAAAATGCTACTAGTGACCTTGGAAGAAGCAAATTCAGTGAAGTAGTAGTGATAATGAGAATACAATTGCAGTGGATTAATGAGAAAGTATAACAAGGAATTTCAACACAAAAAATAGATGACATGGTTTTGTGATGGACATTTTTAGAGTATATTCCCACTTATCTGATTTGACCATTTAAATAATCTCAATTTGGCTCTATTCAAGAGTCTGTTTTAGAGGAGAACTGCCTTATGATTAATTGAATATTTGCAAATAAGTTGAATATTTTCACACCAACCAAGCTTTTAAATATTTAAATACTGTACTCCTTAAATCTTCTCTTCTATAAACTAAATATTTATAGATTTTCCAACCATTCTTACTTATGACCTAGTTTTAGATCCTTTGTTTACATCCTTATTGTCCTTGACCACTCTAGTTTGTCAATGTCACCTTACAGTGTAATTTCTGGAAATATTTAAGGGCAATCACTTGCCTTTTCAATTACTTGTAATAATTCCCCATTGCCCTATTCATTTTGATTTTTGAGACCTTCAACACTGACTTTTGCAAATATTCTTGGGCATTATCTCCCATTCCCTCTCATATTTACAATACACAGACACATTGGGTTCAGCAAAGTTTTTCTGTAAAGGGTCAGATAGTAAATATCTTTTGCTTTGCAGACTATACAGTCTCTGTTGCAACTACTCAATATGTTATATACAATACAATACAATAGACAATACCTATATAACAGATAATAATAATTAATGAATATCCATGGCTGTATTCCAGAAAATCTTTGTTGAAGAAAACAACAGGCAGAAGCCTTCAGTTGGCCCTAAGCCATAGTTTGCCAAACTGTGGTCTAGACAAACAAAATGTCTTGATATTTTTTGGGTGCTTCTAAGTCAATTCTATGCTTTTGTTGATACTTTCCACTATTTCATCTGATTGGTTGAAATAAAAGCTATGCCAATATAGCCAACAGATTCTAAAATACAGAAGTTTACATGAGAGAAAAAGTTTTTTTTTTTCTTCTCGCATATCAGTCCTTGCCTAAGTGGGCCAGATTGTCTCATAGCTCTGTTCTGCAAGATCATTCAGTAACTGAGCTTCCTCTTGCTAAATGTAGCAAATAATTGTCAACCCATAGTGACATACTGGCACTAATAGTTTGTCTCTTAACAATCAGTTCTGCTAGAGATATAGGCACATATACCTTTGTTTTAGCTTCAAAACATTGAAAGATGGCTTTGCCAAATGTTTTAACCATATGAAACTTGGGAGTCTATTTTCCCTGTCTGCTACGTATTGTCATTGACATTAAGCCAGTGACGCATGCTTTAGACTTTTGTTATAGTAATTACTTTTTTATGGTACTAATTTCTACATAAGGGAAAGTAGTGTGTGTTAACAAATAGACTAAAAAATTTAAAAAAAAAAACACCTAACATATTAAAAGTTAATTTCCCATGTGATGTGGTTTGGCTTCATGTCCGCAGCCAAATCTCATCCTGAATTGTTATAATCCCCACTTGTCAAGGTCAGTACCAGGTGGAGGTAATTGGATCATGGGGGCAGTTTCCCCCATGCTATTCTCATGTTAATGAGTGAGTTCTCACGGGATCTGATGGTTTTATAAGCATCTGACATTTCTCCTGCTTGCACTCACTCTGTCCTGCTGCCCTGTGAAGAAAGTGCCTGCTTCTCCTTTACCTTCCACTATGATTGTAAGTTTCCTGAGGCCTCCCAAGCAATGAAGAACTGTGAGTCAATTAAATTTCTTTCCTTTATAAATTACCCAGTCTCAGGAAGTTCTTTATAGCAGAGTGAGAACGGACTAATACACCATGGATTTAACAGTTCAGAGTGGTTCTGGGTTGCTGGAATATTCTGCTTCACGGTCATTCAGGGATCCAGGATGATAGCAGCTCTACCATAGTCAACATACATCTTCCAAGTGCAGCTTGGTGGTTGCCATGAGAGTGTGTTATATGAAAAAAATAGTAAGAAAGGAGCTTATATAAAAATGTTAGTAGTATGGCACTAAGGGAGGAGACCACCCCTGATATTGTCTTATGCCCAATTTCTGTCTCCAAAGAAAGAAGAAGTAAAAATTAAAAGGCAGAAATGAAATCCACAAGCAGACAGCCTGGCGCCACACCCTGGGCCTGGTAGTTAAAGATCGACCCCTGACCTAATCAACATTATCTATAGATTACAGACATTGTATAGAAAAGCACTGTGAAAATCCCTGTCCTGTTCTATTCCATTCTAATTACCAGTGCATGCAGCCCCCAGTCATGTACCCCTGCTTGCTCAATTGATCACGACCCTCTCACGTGGACCCCTTTAGAGTTGTGAGCCCTTAAAAAGGACAGGAATTGCTCACTTGGGGAGCTCGGTTGTTGGAGACATGAGTCTTGCCAAAGCTTCCGGCTGAATAAAGCCCTTCCTTCTTTAACTCGGTGTCTGAGGGGTTTTGTCTGTGGCTTGTCCTGCTACAGCACAACATTTTCTCTCATGTTCCATTGGCTCTGTCAAATAACCATATCAAATTGCAAGGGAGACTGAGACATGTAGTTTAGTTATATGCCTAAGAAGACAAAAATGATTTATGGTAAATGGCCAGTAGTTTCTGTACACCATCTATCAAGATGCTACAGTGTTACTTCATTCATGATTTCTTCTCTTAGTTCCCTTTCTCTTTTGCATGAATTGCCACACTATTTTACACATATACCTTCCCAACACACTTTCTCTACCTGATCTTCAGATATTGGCTTGCCTAAATTTGATGATTATCAAAAGCAGGCACTCTGGAAAGATGCCTTATAGATGTCGTACAGAGATGTAAAAATATAGCATTAGGCCTGGTGGCAAGGAAGAGCAGAAGGGCAAATCAGGCCTTGGGTGTACTCATCTTTATATCACTTATTTCCAGCATAAGGCATTTTAAGAAAAATGGAATATCAATGGATGTTGAAATGGTTTAAATTACTCTTTATCATCTCCCACTTCTCTTGAACTTCACTGAAATCAAAGACTTTATCAACCTACAGTAAACTCGTCTTGGGGTAGCCATCTGATTTATAATAATTCTCCTTTTCCTTGAAACAACCTCAAAACAGAAAGAAAATCAGTGCAAATAATTAAATGAACAAATATGTCACCATAGCTGACTGATCCATAGACCAAATACAATTCTCTTAAGGGTATTTAAAGACTTTTAAACCAAGACTGAGAGTCTTCAGAGCCAAATCATGTCAATGTCAAAATTTGAGGGAGAACATTCACAGTTTTCTGCTACTAGAGTCCCACATCCACCATAATTGCAGCCTTTCCTGAGTCTTGGCTATTAAAATCATTCTTCAAAACTGTGAGAAACAACAGTACCCTTTCAGTGTACTTGACGTTTTGCTGAAACACTAGAATTAGTTTCCTGTGCTTGCTACTAAAAGAAACTTGTTATTCTCCTGTCACTATTAGAAGACTTTTACTTTGTTGGGGTAGAGGGAAGTACAATAGTACTTGGATCATTATTTTTTATCTTAAGTATATGTTGACATTATACCACATGCCACAAGCTAGTAGCCTAGTCATTTCATCTTGTTCTTGAATTAAATAAAGCCTTTTTTATTGTACCTGTCTTTTTAACTTTTATTTTAGGTTCAGGGGTACATGTGCAGGTTTGTTATATAGGTAAACTTGTGTCACAAAGGGTATATTGTACAGATTATTTTGTCACCCAGGTACTAAGACTAGTAACGAATCATTACATTTTTTGTTGCTCTTCCTCCTCCCACTCTCCACTTTCAGGTACGCCTCAGTGTCTTGTTCACCTCTGTGTGTCCACATGTTATCATCATTTAGTTCCCACTTAGAAGTGAGAAGATGAAATATTTGTTTTTCTGTTCTTGCATTAGTTCACTGAGGATAATGGCCTCCAGCACCATCCATGTTCCTGCAAAGGGCATGATCTCATTTTTTCCTTTGGTTGCATCATATTCCATGGTGTATATGTACCACATTTTTTTTTTTATCCAACCTACCATTGATGGGCATTTAGGTTGAATCCATGTCTTTGCTACTGTGAGTAGTGCTGAGATTAACATACGTGTGCATGCGTCTTTTGGGTAGAACTTGGTATATTCCTAGTAATGGGATTGCTGGGTCAAATAGTAGTTTTGTTTTTAGTTCTTTGAGGAATCACCATACTGCTTTCCACAAGGGTTGAACTAATTTACAATCCCAACAACAGTGTATAAGCATTCCTTTTCCACACAACTTCACCAGCATCTGTTATTTTTTGACATTTTAATAATAGCCATTTTGAGTATTTTTCTTTTTCTATTTCTATTTTTATTTCTATTTCTTCTCTGAAGAAATGCCACACTGCCTTCCCTAGTGGCTGAATGAATTTACTTTCCCACCAGCAATGTCTAATCGTACCCTTTCCTCTGCAGCCTCCACAGCATCTGTTATTTCTTGACATTTTAATAATAGCCATTCTGACTAGTGCGAGATGGTATCTCATTGTGGTTTGGATTTACATTTCTCTATGATTAGTGATGTTGAGCATTTTTCATATGCTCGTTTGCCATGGTTATGTCTTCTTTTGAAAAGTGTTTATGTTCTTTTTCCACTTTTTAATGAAGTTGTTTGTTTTTTGCTCCACAAGGATTTTTCATTCAACTTAGTTTATCATCAAAATACTCCCTGATCAAATGTCTAAAAGATTTACTTCAAGAATGAAAGCATGTGATCTCAGAAGTTAAGTCTAAGAGTCAAGAGGAATGATGATCAAAAATGTTAACCCTGTGGATAAATCTAAACAAAATTTGTTGGTATAAATGAATAGTGTCCTATTTGGGAGAATGTAAAAATGGTAGTGCCAAAATATTTTAAAATTTAAAAAATGTTTAAAAAGAAAATTGCTACTCAACCTTCAGCATATCAACTTGATTTCTGTATGACCCTGAGCCTGGAGGTTGTAAAATAGCCAACATCTAGTATCTTAGAAGAAAAAGAATCAGAGCAAACACTAACAGAATCAGCAGTAAAATACCCAAACAGCGAACATGTAACCTAAAAGGATTTGGGGCTCACCAGTAGGTTTGTGCCTGAGCTCCAACACAACCAACCAGTTCTGAACTGACAAAAATTTTTGTTTCAACTAAACAATCACTTAGCTTTGTAAGATTATGTTTTTTGCCTTTTGTCATGCAATGTATCCGTAGATATACACCATTACAGAAATAACATAGAGTTGATGAGAAAAAACACATATTTAGGCAATTAGCAGACAGCATGCAATTCCCCAAATGTTTATTATTCCATGGCTATATAGAGCATAGATGTTTTGTTTGCACCACATTGAAAGTTCCCACAGAGAGTGGCCTACCTTGGCCTGCAGGGTGGATAGGAAACAAGACAGAGAAGAGCCCCAACCCTAAGGTATTTACATAGCTGTAGGTTGACCAAAGAAAGTCTAGAGGACAACTACTTTCTATAAGCAATGAGAAAATAGATTAAGTAGTCTCTAAGTCCAGAAACAATACAAGATAATATGCATACTAAAGGCCAAAGTCTGCATACTTAATGTGAGCCCTGGGAACAGCCTTGCAGCTAGCCCTGGGAACAGCCTTGCAGCTAGGAGGCTGACATCAGCCACGTGCTATGCTCCCTTTCTGGAAACTGGCTAGATCCAGCTGAACTACTTCCCCAGGAGACTCCAGGACTATCCAAATTTGCCTCTTTTCAACTTTCTAAACTCTACCCTTGCCCTTGTTCTGGGAGGCAATCTTCACAGGGACTGCTCTCCTTCTTTCATGCCTAAATGTAAATACCCAATGTGCGAACTGTCTTGGGGATATTCTTTGACAGTAATATGAAGGCCCTATCCCATAGCCAACCCCTCCATGCTGGATCAGATTTTCTCTGCCTTGCCCAGCAATCAACTCAGCTTTAAATTCATTATGTCTTAGACTATTTGTTATTCTTTTATCATAACAAGCCAAGATGAGTAATAAACAGAGTTAAAGTATTTAAGGTTCTTATATTGTATTATTCAGAAGGATATTAAAGATAATGACTAATATTACTTCAAGTTAAGTAGGGCATATTGACAATTACAAGTATAACAATTTGTAGAAATACATTGTATATTTTCTGAACCAGTAAACAAACAGTAAGAAAAAGTGAAACAGGAGAAATAAAACACCAAGTCAAATAACAGCAAAAAAGACAGGAAAACAATTGAGGAAAAATTGCAGAATGATGCAATAAAAATTAAAATATAATGGAAAAAAAACAGAAAGAAAATCTGACACCGGGGCATACTTGAGGGTAGAGGGTGGGAGGAGGGTAAGGATAAAAAAACTACCTATCAGGTACTATGCTTATTACTGGAATGACAAAATAATTTATACATCAAACTCCTGTGACATGCAATTTACCTATCCATTAAGTCATAATGAAGATTTTGGCTTTTACTCTGAATCAAGTTGGAAGCCATTGGAGGAATTTACACACAGGAGTCATATAATACGATTTACTTTTGAGAGGATCACTCAGCTTTGTGTTGAGATTAGACTAAAGGGAGGCAAGTGCAGAGTCGGGGGGCCAGTTAAGAAGTTACTACAATAATCTAAGGAGTGATGTTGGTGGTTTGGACCAAGGTAGTGGCAGTGGAAATCATGTAGTCAAATCTGGAACATATTTCAAAGGTATAGCTGATAAGATGTAATGACAAACAACATATTGGATATGAGAAAGAGATCAAGAATTACAGCAAGATATTTTGGGTGAGGACTGAAAGGTCAGGGTTGCCACTAATTAAGAGAAAGGGAAAGACTATAAGTGGAGTAGACTTGGAGAGTAACATGAAGAGCTTGGTTTAGTACATATTAGGTTTAGGTTGTTATCAGATACTCAAAGGACGATATCAACTAGGATGTTGGAAATACAGGCCAGGATTTCTGAAATAGTACTGTATTCTTTCAAACATGGTCAATCTGTTATACAACTTGAGTACAAAAATTAGTAACTTAAATGACAGGGTAATGTATAATAACACTGCAATTGATTATCCTAGTTTCTTTTAGTATACTTGGACATCACAGAGGATCCTCAAACTGAAAGACTATATAGCCGTTTAGCTCTTCTTGCACAGAATCCACACATTTAACGTGGGTAGGACATTCATATATATTCTGAAAAATGAAGTTTTTAATTTCTTAAAATTTTATCAATGGAAAATGTATGTTCCCAATACTTTTGTTGTTGTTGTTGTTGAGATGATGTCTCGGTGTGTTGCTCAGGCTAAAGTGCAGCGGCATGATTTCAGCTCCCTGCAACCTCTGCCTCCCAGGCTCAAGTGATCCTCCCACCTCAGCCTCCCAAGTAGCTGAGACTATAAGTGTACAATGCCACACCAGGGTAATTTTTATATTTTTTGTAGAGAAGGCATTTCGCCAGGCTGGTTAAACTGGACTCATGAAATCCACCCGCTTCAGCCTCCCAAAGTGCTGGGATTACAGGCATGAACCGTTGTACCCAGCCACCCAATTAGTTTTAATGGTTTGTTTAAATGGCATTTCCCAATCTAGTAATTATTTTTGAAAATCTGAAGACTCTAAACATATTTTTAACTCAATTAACATTCAGTGAATTGAACCAAGTTACAGTTTGATGGTCAGAACTTTTTATGTAGATTCTATAGTTGTTTGCCTGCAAGGAAATATTAAATACAACATGTTTTAAGATAGTTTCTCAACTCTCTCTCTCTCTCTCTCTCTATATATATATATATATATACATATATATATATATATGTATATATATATATATATGTATATATATATATATATATATGTATATATATATATATATATATGTATATATATATGATGAGTATAGGCCTTAACTTAATTCAATGTTTTATAATTTCTACTCTTAATCTTCTTTCTCTCTACCCACTTTGCTAGGTATAGTCAATTAAAAACTGAACTCATTGCCATCCTCTGGCATCTTCAAAGCAATTGGTGTCAACATGTTTTCCATTTGGGTGTCTAATTGTACAACTTCAAAATACTGTCAGAATTTGCCTTTTAATATTGACAGCCTTGGAATAGTAACAATCTTCCCAATTTTGCCCACATTCCCTTGAGGGTGGAATTACTTATAAAAAAAGTCAAGATGAATTTCTAGATATTCTACATTTTTATGTGACTTTAAATGCAAGGCTTTAGCTACCTGATGCTTCTTCCTGACTCTGTGCTCAGCCAATTTTATTCCTCAGATTCTGTCCTTCCCCCATATTTCAACTAGACTAAACATCAAAATCTGTTTCCTTATTTCTTTCGTAAAGATAATCCTACCTCTATCCATCTGCCTCTTGTATCATATGGGAAATATAATAATTTATTGGCTCATTTATAACACAAATCTATACGACCTATGTGTTGTGCCTCTTGGAAAGATTCCATACGATATTGTTTATATTTGGCATTTTTCAACCAGGTCACATTTTCCTCAGTGGAAACTAGAAGGGCTTGGTCTTACTATGAAAACAACAGAGAGAAACAGATTTTTAGGCAGTAGACTGTCAAACACAGCAACAAGAAAATCCAACTGAGCATAATGATGAGAAGCAGTAGTTCTATTGTTTAATAATCTATATCTGCCATGAGTAGGGTTATTGTGACTAGAAATTAGATGATGTAGATTATGGCAGAAAGGAAAACAAAAAATAAACTTCACTTGAACTTCACCCTAGTCCTTCTCTTGAGGCAATCTTGTAAGAAATATTTATGGGTTCATACCTCATTACTACTAATCTAACTGGCACACAGCTTTGTCCGTTATCATGTCATGAGCATGAAGACAAGCAGTAACTGGGGCAACAAGTGGGGGGCACAGGCAGAGTTTATTCATGATCAAAACCTCTTTTTTACTTAGTATCCAGCTATGTTCCTTTTTGCTGACATCACTTCTATGGTCACATAAATGTGACCATAAATATCATTTTCTTTATTGTCTGGCCTGGATCTCTATACCCTGATGACCAAGATGTGATTTATTCATAAAGTCCTAATTGTCTAAGTCCACTGATTTGGTATATTCTTCTACTAACAAACAAAACATATTCAAGCATATGCCAACAAAATCTTGTAACTGCATGCATTGCCTATAATTACTGATCCCATACATTTTTCTTTTTCAGTAAAATATATTTTTTCTTCTGCTCAGTGCTATATATAGATATGGACTAGGGTTAGGCAGTATAGAGTATGCTATACTTTACATTAAAAACATTAGGCTGGGTGCGGTGGCTCATGCCTGTAATCCCAGCAATTTGGGAGGCCGAGGCAGGCAGATCACCTGAGGTCAGGAGTTTGAGACCAGCCTGGCCAACATGGTGAAACCCCATCTCTACTAAAAATACAAAAATTTGCCAGGCATAGTGGTGCACTCCTGTAATCCCAGGTATTTGGGAGGCTGAGACAGGAGAATTGCTTGAACCCAGGAGGCAGAGGTTGCAGTGAGCCAATATCATGCCATGGCACTCCAGCCTGGACAAAAGAGCAAGACTCTGTCTCAAAAAAAAAAAAAAACAGTCATTCTGTGTATTTAATTAATTAGTAACCAATCCACACAACTATGCCCTTATGTTCTACTACAGCCCAAATTTAGCCATTGTTTCATAACAATAAGAAAAATCATGAGTAAAGTTCTTCCTAAAATTTAGATACAGTGTATTTCTAGTATGAGTTATGAGGGAAGATACAAGTTCTTATTCATTGGTCCAAGTGTATTAGTCTGTTTTCACATTGCTATAAAGATACTACCTGAGAATGGGTAATTTAAAAACAAAAAAATATTTAATTGACACACAGTTCCACATGGCTGGAGAAGCCTCAGGAGACTTACAATCATGGCAGAAGGCAAAGGCTAAGCAGGCACCTTCTTCACAAGGTGGCAAGAAAGAGAGAGAAACTTCAGGGGAAAGTACCAGACACCTATCAAACAACCAAAACTGGTGAGAACTCACTCACTATCACAATAACCATATTGAGGAAACCACCCCCATGATCCAATCACCTTCCAGCAGGTCTCTCCCTTGATACGTGGGGATTACAATTTGAGATGAGATTTAGGTGAGGACACAGAGCCAAACAATATCATTCTGCCCTTGGCCCCTTCCAAATCTCATGTCCTTTTCACACTTTAAAACCAATAATGCCTTCCCAACAGTTCCTCAAAGTCTTAACTCATGTCAGCATTAACTCAAAAGTCCACATCCAAAGTCACATCTGAGACAAGGCAAGTACCTTTCAACTAGGGGCCTGTAAAATCAAAAGCAAGTTAGGTACTTCCAAAATACAATGGGGGTATAGGCAATGAGTAAATGTTCCCATTTCAAATGGGAGAAATTGGCCAAAACAAATGGGCCACAGGCCCCATGTAAGTCTGAAACTCAGTGGGGCAGTCATAAAATCTCAAAGCTCCAAAATTTCCTTTGACTGCATATTTCACATCCAGGGCACACTAAAGCAACAGGTAGACTCCCATGGGCAGCTCCACCCCTGTGACTCTGCATGTTACAGCCCCTGCAGCTGCTTTCATGTGCTGGTGTTGAGTGCCTGTGGCTTTTCCCAGCACACGGTGTGTATTAGTCCATTCTTACACTGCTAATAAAGACATACCTGAGACTGGGTAACTTATAAAGGAAAGAGGTTTAATTGACTCACAGTTCCATATGGCTGAGGAGGCCTCACAATCATGGCAGCGGGCAAATGAGGAGCAAAGTCATGTTTTACACTGTGGCAGGCAAGAGAGATCATGTGCAGGGGAACTCCCCTTTATAAAATCATCAGATCTCGTGAGACTTATTCACTATCACGAGAATAGCATGGAGAAGACTGGCCACCATGATTCAGTTACCACCCACTGGGTCCCTCCCACGACATGAGGGAATTATGGGAGCTACAATTCAAGATTTGGGTGGTGACACAGCCACACCACGTTACAGTGCAAGCTGTTGGTGGGTCTACCATTCTGGGGTCTGGAGGAGAATGACCCTCTTCTCACAGCTCCACCAGGCAGTGCCCCAGTGGAGACTCTGTATGGGGCTCCAACTCCACATTTCCCATCCTTACTGCCCTAGCAGAGGTTCTCCATGAGGGCTCCACCCCTGCAGCAAATTTCTGCCAGGACATCCAATAGTTTCCATACATCCTCTGAAATCTAAATGGAGGTTCCCAAACCTCAACTCTTATCTTCTGCATACCCACCGGCCCAACACCACGTGGAAGCTGCCAAGGCTTGGGGCTTGCATCCTCTGAAGCAATGCCCTGAGCTGTACCTTGGCCCCATTTATCCACTGTTGGAGCTAAAGCATCTGGGACTTAGGGTACCATGTCCTGAGGCTGCCCAGAGCAGCAGGGCCCTGGGCCTGGCCCATTACACCATTTTTCTTCCTAGACCTCCAGGCCTGTGATGAGAGGGGCTGCCACCAAGATCTCTGACATATCCTGTAGCTATTTTCCCTATTGTCTTGGCTATTAACATTCAGCTCCTTGTTACTAATGCAAATTTCTGCAGCTGGCTTGAATTCTTCCCTAGAAAATGGGTTTTTGTTTTCTAACACATGGTCAAGCTGCAGATTTTCCCAAATTTTATGCTCTACTTCCCTTATAGACATAAATTCCAATTTCCAATTATCTCTTTCTGTGCACATGTAACTGTATGCTTTCAGGAAATGTCAGGTCACTTCTTGAATGCTTTGCTGCTTAGAAATTTCTTCCACCAGATATCCTAAATAATCTCTCAAGTTCAAAGTTTCACAGATTTTTAGGACATGGGCAAAATGCTGCCAGTCTCTTTACTAAAGCATAGCATGAGTGACCTTTCCTCCTGTTTCCAATAAGTTCCTCATTTGTATCTGAGACCACCTCACCCTGGGCTTCATTGTTCATGTCATTATCAGCATTTTGGTCAATGCCATTCAACAAGTATCTAGGAAGTTCCAAACTTTCCCACATCTTCCTGTCTTCTGAGCTCTCCTATATATTTCACCCTCTGCCTGTTACCCAGTTCCAAAGTCACTTCCACATTTTTCAGGTTATCTTTATAGCAGTACCCCACTCTGCCAGTACCAATTCTCTGTATTAGTCTGTTTTCTCACTGCTATAAAGATACTACCCAAGGAAGGGTAATTTATAAACAAAAAAGGTTTAATTGATTCACAGGTCTACATGACTGGGGTGGCCTCAGGAAACTTACAATCAGGGAGGAAGGCAAAGGGGAAGCAGGGACCTTCTTCACAAGGTGGCAGGAGAGACAGCAAAGGCAGAGGAAAGTGTCAGACGCTTATAAAACCACCAGATTTTGTGAAAACTCTCTCACTATCATAAGAACAGCATGTGGGAAACTGCACCCCCATGATCCAATCCCCTCCCAACAAGTCCCTCCCTCAACATGTGGGGATTACAATTAAAGATGAGATTTAAGTGGCGACACAAAGACAAACCATATCACCAAGCAAAAAATAATACTAAATACTGAAGATAGTTGATAAAAGAGAAAATTGGTCTGGTACGGTGGCTCATGCCTGTAATCTCAGCAGTTTGGGAAGCAGAGGTGGGTGGATCACGAGGTCAGGAGTTCAAGACCAGCCTGGCCAAAATGGTGAAATCCTGTGTCTACTAAAAGTACAAAAATTAGCCAGGCATGGTGTCAAGTGCCTCTAATCGCAGCTACTCATGAGGCTGAGGCAGAGAATTACTTGAACCCGGGAGGCGGAGGTTGCAGTGAGCTGAGATCGAGACACTGTTTCAAAAAAAAAAAAGAAAGAAAATTAAAGTAGAATCCATGACAGATTATAGCAGGGGTCTTCACTGTTGGTGGTGAAATTGACAGTCCTGAGTGGTAAATAGGAAGAAAGAGTTAAAAGTAGTATCTTATTGGGGGAAATCCAACCCTCAATATTTCATGTGGGTCCTTTTCTATTTTCCCTAAGTGTCGGCCAGTCTGAGAAATAAAGGGAAAGAGTACAAAAGAGAGAAATTTTAAAGCTGGGTGTCCGGGGGAGACATCACATGTCAGCAGGTTCCGTGATGCCCCAAGCCGTAAAACCAGCAAGTTTTTATTAGTGATTTTCAAAAGAGGAGGGAGTGTATGAATAGGGTGTGGGTCACAGAGATCACATGGTTGACAAAGTAGTAAAATATCACAAGGCAAATGGAGGCAGGGTGAGATCACAGGAACAGGGCGAAATTAAAATTGCCAGTGAAGTTTCGGGCACATACTGTCATTGATAACATCTTATCAGGAGACAGGGTTTGAGAGCAGAAAACCGGTCTGACCAAAATTTATCAGGCAGGAATTTCCTCGTCCTAATAAGCCTGGGAGCACTACGGGAGACTGGGGCTTATTTCATCCATTATTTACAACCATAAAAGACAGATGTTCCCAAAGCGGCCATTTCAGAGACCTCCTCTTGGGAACACATTCTCTTTCTCAGGGATGTTCCTTGCTGAGAAAAAGAATTCAGTGATATTTCTCCTATTTGCTTTTGAAAGAAGAGAAACATGGCTCTGTTCCATCCAACCCACAGGCAGCCAGACTTTAAGGTTGTCTCCCTTGTTCCCTGAAGATCGCTGTTATCCTGTTCTTTTTTCAAGGTGCCCAGATTTCATATTGTTTAAACAATTTGTGCAGTTAACGCAATCATCACAGTGTCCTGAGGTGACATTCATCCTCAGCTTATGAAGATGATGGGATTAAGAGATTAAAGTAAAAACAGGCATAGGAAATCACAAGAGTATTGATTGGGGAAGTGATAAATGTCCATGAAATCTTCACAATTTATGTTGAGAGACTGCAGTAAAGACAGGCATAAGAAATTATAAAAGAATTTATAAAAATAAAAGAATATAAAAGAATTATATAAAATAAAAGATATAAAAAATTTTATATAAAATTATATAAAATAAAAGAAAATAAAAGAATTATAAAAGAAATTATAAAAATTTATTAATTTGGGGAATTAATAAATGTCCATGGAATCTTCACAATTTATGTTCTTCTGCAATGGCTTCAGCTGGTCCCTTCGTTCGCAGTCCCTGACTTCCCGCAACACTATCTAGGTTTCTGTCTTGTGTAATGAGGGGCACTGAAGATTGTGATTTCTCAGTTCCCAAATTATCCCCAAACTCAATTTAAACTAGTTTAGAACTGTTTAAATTTTGAAGCCTAGCATAATTCCCAGGCCCCAAATTCTGATTTTCAGTAGTTTCTTGTCTGTGTTGATTAAGTAATGTAGTGAGATCCTTGCTGTAGTTCATGCCTCAGCCTGCTTGGTAGCAAAGTTCACCCCATCCATATGCAAGGTGTTAAATTTAACCATACCAATAATTTGTCTGGTCTCTAACCCTGTGTTCCTTAAGATGTCCTTTATTTAAGACTTACCCATTCTCTGGTCAATCATAAGAGGCCTTGGGATAAGGCACTCAGTACATTGATGTTAATGAGCATCCTCAGAAAACATAAACGAGGAAGAACAAAACCAATGACATAGCCATACCTCCGCGCTCAAGAGGCCTTGATTACCAATAGACACTTGTGTAATCAACAAATTATTAAATAATTAAAATAAGAATAGGACATTTCAGTAAGTTATATCTTTTGTCATTGCAGCTATCAGTAAGCAGGACAGAGGAACAATAATAGTGTTGAGACTCAAAAATCTATTCTACAGTCATATTCAAATCTTCTACTCAGTAGTTCACAGTTAAAAACAATGCCACACTAAATTACTTCTCAATTGCCCTCTGGATGTGCTTTATTTAGTATCATAGCCAAATGCTGACCAACGACCAATATGGAATTATTGATGTTAAATCAGAAGATATTCTTCTGTATATCTTATACAATCTAGCCCGTGCTGTACAATGCATGAGCCACTAATGACATGTGGCTATCAAACATTTAGAATGTGGCCTGCCCACATTGAGATGTAATACAAATTTAAAATAACTGGCATGTTCTGAAGACATATTATGAAAACACAATGTAAAATATCTAATTAATATTTATATTTGGTATATGTTTTAAATGTTAATATTTTAGATATATTGGGTTAGATAAAATATACTATTAAATAATTCAACCTATTTCCTTTTACCTTTTTAATGTGGCTTCTAGAAAATAGAATTACATATGAGGCTCACATTATGTTTCTATTGGATATTGCTGTTCTAAACTAGTTTAAAGCATATGTCAGATAACAGTGTTGAGATGTCCTTTAATTATATGTTCTTTCCATTAACATCATTTTTTCCAAAGTAAATTACTGTTGAAAATATTGTTGGCTTATTTGAATATTTCTGAGGATCCTTCATTTAAATAGGGAGTTAGTTTGGAGTTAAATAAAATTTGCTGTTGTATATTGTCAGATTTCAAAATGTAAGTAATTTTATTAGCTATATTTGATATCATTAGTGATTATCAACATACAAGAAGACAGACTACTTAGGCAAATGGTGGAGACATGAAGGAGACATTCTATCTTTTCATTAGTTACTGTGTTTTTCATTCTTTTCAATTAGCATGAGCAATCTTCTTGATATAGTAGCAGCACAACATGGCTGCGTATGCTAAGTGATGTTCTGAATTCAGTCTGTGAGATGTCCTTTGGAGATTAAATTATCTTTGAAATTCTTCAGCTGAAGCAGCACGATTTTCTCTACTACTTTGTTCTTGGCCTGGAATCCTTAGTGATGCAATTTCTTTTCACGGAAAATGCATCTAAATGGCTTTGTGGTACTCTATGGGCTTTGCATAAGTTCAGTATCAACAAAGATGATGAATGATTTTTTTTAGCTTTCCTTGCCATTCATCCAGCTGACTTCATGAATTACAGACAGAATGGTATTAGAATTGCTAGTGACCTCTTCTCTTAATACCAGGCAGAGCATATGGTCTTAAACAAAGGCTAGAGTTATGTTTATAAGCTAGGATATTTTTTTTTCAGTTTGTTAAAGTTTATGGCTAAAATTTTCTATCAAACTCAACAGATGTACAAATAACTTGGCCAGGAGTACGACTCCTACACACTCGTTCATAAGTCATGATTGCCTCTGATGTATCCCAGACTAATAGACAAAACCTGGACCAGCAATATAGTGAAAAGCCTGAGAAAAAATGAAAAGTTTCACTAATAATCTAGACACTTTATACACTTAGCTGTTAGAATGTACTCGAACATGTAGAAACCCCTACATAATAAATAAAATGTTCCATTTTCATTTAATTTTATTTTATTATTATTTTTTGAGATGGAGTCTCACTCCATTGCCCAGGCTGGAGTGCAGTGGTGCAATCTTGACTCACAGCAACCTCCGCCTCCCAGGTTCAAGCTATTCTCCTGCCTCAGCCTCCCAAATAGCTAGGATCACGGGTGTGCACCACTATGCCCAGCTAATTTTTGTATTTTTAGTAGAGACAAAGTTTTGCCATGTTGGCCAGGCTGGTCTCGAACTCCTGACCTCAGGTGATCCTCGCCCTTCAGCCTCCCAAAGCGCTGGGATTACAGGCGTGAGCCACCGTGCCTGGCCCAGTTTTCATTTATTAATTTGGCTCCATCCAGATCCAGTTGTGCTGTAAGCTCTGTCTCACCAGAAAGTTATCATGAATTACCTCCTCTTCTTTTTTAATACAAAGAAAATTCGAAATGTAAACAGCATTTATTTCAGACTTTTCATAATCCCATACTAATGTCAGCATCTGCATGCCCAGAGAAATTGAAAAAGTACACTTCGAAATCAGGTTAGGTATACCTAAATGTCCTGTGGAGTTATTCCATGGAATTATGGTGCACATGGTTTCTGAATATTACGCATATTAAATATGAGTAGTTACAACACTTTGGGCATTATATAGTATCGTGGTGGCTTTCTCATAGCATGCTGTTGTCTGTCTTTCTAATCTTCATTTAATTTTTTAAAAATTAAATTGAGATATAAAACCTATATTTTATACATTTTATATCTATTGAGATGTGAGTTACATAACACACAATTCACACATTTAAAGTACGTGATTTAAAATTTTTTAATATATTTACAGAGTTGTGCAACCATCACCGCTAGCAATTTTAGACAATTTTCACCACTTCTAAAATAAATCTTACACAACATAATAGTCACTCTCCATTCCCCCAGCACCCCAGCCCTAGATTGTCAATAATCTTACATTTATTATCTAAAAAATTATTAATTCTGGAAATTTTGTGTACATGGAATTGTACAACATGTGGCATTTGTGTCTGGATTCTATAATTAGCATAATGAAATCAAAGCTCATCTGTGTTACAGCATGTATCAGTACTTTGTTATTTGTATTGTCAAACAGCATTACATTGTATTGACATACAAATTTTTCCTATCCATTCAGCAAGTGATAGATATTAGGTTGCTTCCATTTTCTGGCAATTGTAAATATTGCTGCTATGAACATACACACACACACATCCTTGTGTGTTCTTAAGTTTTCATTTCTTTTGGTTGCATACCCAGGAGTAGAATTGTTGGTCATGTGAAAACTTTATATTTAATATTTTGAGAAACTGACAGATTGTTTTCCACAGAGGCTATAGCATGTTACAGTCCCACGAGCAATATATGAGGACTCCAATTTCTCTCTATTCTAAACAACAATTGTTATTTTACATCTTTTTCATTATAGCCATCCTAGTGGGTGTGATGATATAAATCTCACTGTAGTTTTGCTTTGCATTTTCTTGATGACTAATTATTTTGATCATCTTTTCATGCATGTATTGGTCATTTGTTTAATCTTCTTTGAAGAAATAGCTATTAGAATCTTTTACACATTTTTAAATTATGTTATTTATCTTCTCATTTTTGAATTATAGTTCTTTATATATTCTGGATATAAATTCTTTATCACATAAATAATTTGTAAAAGTTTTCTCCCATTTTGTTTGTCTCTTGATGATATCCTTTGAATGACAAAGTTTTTAATTTTTATGAAATCCAACTTACCTATTTTTCTTTTGTCATTTCTCCTTTTGATTTCATATCTATAAAATCATTGCCTAACTCAAGGTCATAAAGGTTTACTTCTATTTACTTCTAGAAGTACACTTGTCTAAGAGTTTTATAGTTTTAGCTCTCATAATTAGGGAATTTTATGTATTTCATGTTCATTTTTTACATCTTGTGAGACAGAGTTCCATTTTCATTCTCTTGCATGTTCAGTAGTCTCAGCACCATTTTATGAAAATACTATTTTCCCCTATTGAGTTGTCTCGGCACGGCTGACAAAAATCAACTGACTATAAAACTAAGGGTTTATTTTTGGACTCTCAATTATATTTCATTGATTTATATGTCTACCCTTATGCCAGTATCATATGGTATTAATTATTAGAGCTTTGTGATAAGTTTTGAAACCAGGAAATGTGCGTCCTGAGACTTTGCTTTTTAAAATACATTTTTTGGCTATTCTGAATCTCTTGATCTGGTAGACAGAATTTTCACCCTCCACAGATATTCTAATCCCCAGAGCCTCTGAATACGTTACATTGCATGGCAAAAGGGACTTTGCGTATGTAATAAAGATAACTATCTCAAAATGAAGAGTTTATCACTATTATTTAGGTAGGCCCAACATAATTACAAGAATACTTATAAGAAGAAAACAGTGTGGTCAGACTCAAAGAAGGAAATTTAACAACATAAATAGAAATCAGAATGATAAATCCACAAGTCAATGAATGGGGGCAGCTTCTAGAAGCTGGAAAAGGCAAGGAAGTGCATTTATCCTAGCATTTCCAGAGGAATGTAGTCTGGTATTCGTGTTATTTAAGTAACTAATTTTTTGGTAAATTGTTTCATAAGCAATAGAGAACTAATACACCTACACTTGTATTTCATTATAAATTTTATAATTGGCCTATCAATTTCTGCAAATAAATGACAGCTTGGATTTTGGCAGGAAAAGCATTTAATCTGTAGAACAACTTTTAAAATATTGCCATCTTAACAATATTATGTCTTCCAATCCATGAGCATGAGGCGTTTTTTTCCTTTTAATTTGGTCTTTGAATTATTTTACTGATGCTTTGTGGTTTTCTGTATACAGGCCTTGCATTTATTTAGATATATTTATTCACAAGTATTCTATTCTTTTTGATGATATTGTAAATAGATTTTTGTGTTTGGGTCATTTTAAGATTAATTCTAAGTGCATTATTTTTATTATGTTTTTATGTTTATTATTTCTAACAGGATTTCAATAAATTACCTAGGATTTTCTATATTCAAGATTATGTCATCTTCAAATGTACTTTTATTTCTTTTGTTACTGTCTGAATGCCTTTTATTGCCTTTTCTTATGCAATTGCACTGGCTAGAACCTCCAGTACAATGTTGATTAGGAATTTTAAGAGCAGACATCTTTGTCTTCTTCCTGATCTTAGAGGGAAATCATGTAGTCTCACTGTTAATTCTGATATTAGCTGCAGGTATTTTGTAGATGGTTTCTAGCACCTTGAGGAGGTTACCTTCTATTCCTCAGTTCTTAAGTGTTGAATTTGTCAAACGCTTTTCTTGTGTCAAGAAGGTCTTTTATTTTTTGTTCGTCCTATGGTGTAATACATTGATTGATTTTTGGATGTCAAACCAAACTTGAGGTGCAGGATAAATTCCATTTGGTCTTTGGGTATAATTTATTTTTTCATATTTTGCTTGATTCAGGTAGCTGGTATTTTCTTTAGGAATCATGAGCCAATATTCATAAGAAATATCTGTATTCTTTTTTTTTTCTTTCTCATGATGTCTTTGTCTGGTTTTGCTATCAGGGTACTACTAGCCTCATAGAAGGTGGCAAGTCGTCTCTCCTTATATAATTTTTGAAAGAGTTTGTGAAGGATTTGTACTGATTTTTGTTTAGATTTTATAGAATTTATCAGGGAAGCTATCTGGTCCTGTGCTTTCATCTGTGGGAAGTATTCAAATTGCCAATTCAGGTCTACAATGATTATCTATTTCTCCCTATGTTGGCTTTGTATCTATTTAGGAATTTGTCCATACTGATTAGGTTAGATAATCTGTTGTCATATAATTGTTTATACTATTCCCTTATACTATTTTTTCTTTCTATAAACTAGTAGCGATGTCTCTTTTATTTCTGATTTTATTAAATTCAGTCAACTCTCTTTCTTTTTTTTTTTTTTCTGGAAAGTCTAGCTAAAGGATTCTAAATTTTGTTGATCTTTACCAAGAGGCAACTGTTGGATTTATGTATTGCTTCTACTTCCTATTTTATTTATTTCTGCTCTAATTTGTATTATTTCCTTCTGCTTGCTTTCTATTTATTTTGCTCTTCTTTTACTAGTTTCTGAATTTGTGAGTTAGGTTATTGATTTGTGGTATTTCTTAGTTTTAATATGGATGTTCTTTATAATGGTCAATTTTATGTTACGTTAATTACATCTAAGTGAAAAAATGTTAAGTTATTGAGCAGGTTTATGAGATGAAGTGATGTTATCAGCACAGTGGAAGAAGTGGAAAAACTCTCCAATATTACAGGACGGCTTATGGAAGAACACAGTAGTGAAAGTATTATGCCCTCCTTTACAAAAGGGCAAAGCTTTTTAGAACAGGTAATTATAAGCATAGTGTCTAGCATAGTTCCTTACATATACTTAGGTTCTCAGTAAAAACAGAAAGAAAGACAAGAAAAATAAAACGAGAAAAGAAGGAAGGAAGGAGGGAGGGAAGGAAGGAAACATGGAAAAGGAAGGAGAAAAGAAATAAAGATGGTCTGGTAAAAGGCACAGTTGAAAGGGCACTTTACCTTCTGAAGATAAAGAAAAAATATGAGGTTTGATGTGCATAGAGGGACTAGTTCTGGTGGGGTGATGGTGTAGGAATGGAGAGAACTCAAATATATAACACTTTAATGATCTGACCCAAATTTTTCTTTTCTGAGTTAGAGTATTTATTCAAGCATGATCAGGGTTGAGATTGCCAAGGAGACTTGATAGAAGTCATAGTTATTAATATTGAGGTGGTTGGAAGAGGTAGGTAAATAAAAACATGTAAATGAATTGAAGTATTTCACTGAAGACTCAGCTGAAATTGGAAACTGTTCTTTATTATCAATGCCTAACAAATCAGTAAAGTATAGTAGCATAAAAAAGCAACCCTATTATTATTTTTACAGATTCTGTGGGTTAGGAATCAACTGGGCACTTCCTGCTTGGGATCTCACATATACTTGCAGTCTGATATCAGCCAGGGCCAAAGACAACTGAAGATTTTACTGAGTTGAATGTCTAGTGTGGCTCATTCACTTGTCTAGTAATTGATGCTGGTTATTGACTGGGAGCTCAATTCAGGCTGTTGACTGGAGCATCTAATGTGTCCTCTCCAACATGGTGCACTCATGGTGATCAGACTTCTGACACAAAAGCTGGCTTCTATCAGAATGAGCATTACCAGAGAAACAGCTATATGTTAGTATACAAAATAAAATGTAAAAAATAAGATAAAAGCCGAGAGGCTCCAGAATCCTGGGAGAAAATATAATGACCAAGAATTAGGAGATCTCCTTGAAGTCAAATAATAATAATAATGTGAGTAAAATTACAAGCCAGTATAACATTAGACATTAAGATTTCAAAGCTGGAGAAGATCTGAGTCGTGATTAAGTCTATAATGTAACCACGCGAGAGAGATTGATACAAGGTAAGACTGGAGATAAGGATGACTGTAGATGCTGAAGTCAAAGAACTGAACATTCATGTTACAACTCTAGTCACCCAAATGAATGCAATAGTTAATAGGAATGATGGTGGGAAATAAAGTAGAGAGGGAAAGTATGACACAGATACTAAAATCGTCAATGAATATGAAAGACTTGGGGCCCCGGAGCAATCTTCATGGTTACTTAAACATAGATTCATGGCATGGAGGCTCTGTTGGGTGTAAGAGGATACTTAGTGACACTCTTCAAATTTAAGTGCACATTATGTGGAAGAAGAAAAAGTCTCAATTTCAGTAAACTGTTGGGGGATCATGTATTACAAAAAAAGTCAGGTTTCTGTTAATGCCAGAAGTGAGAAAGGAGCAGTTTTGAGAATAGATAAGAGAAGTAGTGCTTTGCTTCCAAGATTGTTTTATAGAAATTGATACAAAATTTAGAAGGGAGGAAAGAAACATGACATTTATTTGGTAGAAAATATCTTAAAACTGTGTAAGAATGAGAACACGAAAGAAGACAAATGGCAAGATGGGTTTCTATTTGGGGAGGTGACAAAAGTAGAAAAGAACATGAGGCAGCAAAAACTAATGTGCTGCTGATCTTCATCATGTTACAATTTTTGTACATGGTACATTTGAATGTGCCAGTTATTAATATTATGAAAGTTTGAATAATAATTTACTATATACTCAATATACAGTTGACTCTTGAATAATACAGGGGTTGGGGTGCTGTGTCCCCATACAGTCAAAACTCCACTATTACTTTTGATTTTCCCAATATTTAACTAAGCCTATTATTCATCAGAGCCTGACATTTTCCCTGACTCCTTCACAGGTGGGAACTGGAGTGCATGGATACCAGCAGGAGTGAACTCCACTCAGTTGTACCCACTGTGCTCAATCCCTCATGAGAGGGAGTGTGCAGGTGAGCAGGTGCAGGAGCTGGGGTGAGTGCTTTTGGGTGCTGGAAGGAATGAACTTCATACTGGCCCTGCGGCAGCATCTAGGGGGATGCCCGCAACCCCTGAAGCCCCAGAAGGAGTGTTACAATCAGTGCTTTTTTAGCTTTGCCATCCACGGATAGCTTAAGTGTTAACAGCTCAGTGGATGGTCAGTGTGACAGCCTTTTGCACCTTTTGCACCATGCCTGAGTTCTTGTCCAGTGTTCAGGAGGAATGAGGTCACATGAACAAATTTGAAGGATGGTAAATGCTGGGGATTTTATTGCTCATGAAAGTGACTCTCAGCAAGAAGAGGAGCTGAAAAGGTGATGGAGGGAGAAGGTAATCTTCCCCTAGAGTCTGGCCATCCCCAGCTGGACTCCTCTCTGAAGCTACGCCATCAAACTGTCCCTCTGAAGTCAAGCTGCTTCTCTCTGACCATAGTCTCTGATGTCCAGGTGTTTCTCCTCTTCTCCTCTCTCTGGTGACAGAGCCTGGGGTTTTTAATGGGCACAGGATGAGGGGTGGGGCGGGCCATGGGTGGTTTTGAAAAAGGCGACATTCAAGTGGGAAAATGAGGATACGTGTTCTCACTTTGGGCCACAGTTCCAGGCTTGAGGGTAGGGCCCTCAACAGGGACCTGCCCTCTTCTGCCCAGAATTTCTCTGCCTCCTGTCCCTATAATTACTGATAAACAGTTGCTTAACACATATTTTGTATGTTGTATGTATTATATACTGTATTCTTAGAATTAAGTGAGCTAGAGAAAAGAAAATGTTAAGACTGTCATAAGGAAATAAAATATATTTACTATTCATTAAGTAGAAGTAGATCATCATAAAGGTCTTCATTCTTCTCGTCTTCATTTTAAGCAGGATAAGGAGGAGAAGGAAGAGGAGGAGTTGGTCTTACTGTCTCAGGGATGGCAAAGGTGGAAGACACACCTTGTATAAGTGGACCCACGCAGTTCAAACCCATGTTTTCCAGGGGACAACTGTATATTAAGATAAAAATCCAAGCAAATGTTTGTGGAACATATGAATATCTCTGAAAATACTTCAGTTTTATATAGTGAATATGAAAAATCACTGACCTATTTAAATGCTCAGGTTCTGGAGTAAGAGCCTTGTGATCAATCACCTTTAGGAACTCAGGAAATTACCTAATCTATTTTAGTTTTAGTTTCTTTGCCTGTAAAACTAGAATTATATCCACCTAGTACACAGGGTTATGTCAGAAACTAATATCATAATTGAGAGTAACTAGCACAGTATTTGCACATAACTGATGTTCATAATAGTTCACTTAGGCTTAAAGCATACGTAGACTAGAAATTATAGATAAAATGTTTTAGAGTTATTTGGTGTCCATGTTTCCTACACTGCCACAGAAAAAAAAATAATGAAAATTCCTTTCTCGGCCGGGTGCGGTGGCTCAAGCCTGTAATGCCAGCACTTTGGGAGGCTGAGGCAGGCAGATCATGAGGTCAGGAGATCGAGACCATCCTGGCTAACACGGTGAAATCCTGTCTGTACTAAAAATACAAAAAAAAAAAAAAAAAAAAAATTAGCCAGACATGGTGGCAGGCACCTGTAGTCGCAGCTACTCAGGAGGCTGAGGCAGGAGAATGGCATGAACCCAGGAGGCGGAGCTTGCAGTGAGCCGAGATCTTGCCACTGCACTCCAGCCTGGGCGACAGAGCAAGACTCTGTCTCAAAAAAAAAAAAAAAAAAAGAAAAAGAAAATTCCTTTCTCTGGAAACTTAACTAGAGTATTGTACTTTCACAGCCATTGTCATGCCCTGTTAGCTGAAACTGACAATAACATATATACAGAATACCATGGTATTCCAAATCCAGTTCACTATACAGCAACATGGATGAAACTGGTGGCTATTTTCTTAAGTGAAACAACTCAGAATCAGAAAGAAAAATACTGTATGTTTTCACTTATAAGTGGGAGCTGAGTAATGTATATGGGGGCTCCTAATAAATCAATAAGTTCACAGGAACTGGGAAGAAGCCATGCTGGTGAAACAGGGGCCTAATCCCACTTGCAACCACTTGGTGTGGAAAAAAATACAGCTATTGTCTTGCAACTCCAGAGCAGAAGGCATGCTGGTTGCAAGATGGCTAAAAGTAGCAGAGTGTTTCCCTTAGGCACCTGGAGAGGAAAGGCCTCGCAGTTAAAAATTACCCCAACATATTCTTAGCATATAGCACAATCGCACTTGCATGTAGACTCCTCCAACACTGTCCTATAAAACCCCCTCACATTTCTGCCTCTTGGCAGATAGCAGCTCTCTTGCTACTGTCTATTGCTACTATATAGCAGTGTTCCTCCCTAAACATTCTCTTCTGTTGTTTTATTTCTGTCTTGGTAAATTCTCTTACCACCTGGGAAACCGGCCCCAAACAGTCATTGCTCACAGCAGTGTGGACTGAAAGACACTGGAGACTGGGATGGATGTGGGGATGAAAACGGGGAAGGATGGATGAGGAGAAATTACTTAATGGGTACAGTGTACATTATTCAAGTAATATGTACACTAACAGCCAAGACTTCACCTCTATTCAATACATCCAAGTAACAAAATTACAAATAAAATATAAAATATACAAATTAAAACAAGTTCAATTCACCCTAGACTCTAAATGAAAATCTTACAACTCTGATATTTTGAATTTTGATTACTGTGGTAACCATATGTCTACAAAAGAGTCAAACTCTGTAAAATATTTGAAGAGATTTATTCTGTGCCAAACATGAGTGACCATGGCCTGTGACACAGCCCTCAGGAGGTCCTGAGAACATTTGCCCAAGGTGGCCGGGGTGCAGCTTGGTTTTATACATTTTAGGGAGACATGAGACTTCAATAAAATACATTTAAGAAACACATTGGTTTGGTCCAGGGGGGCGCTTTCAGGTTATAGGTAGATTTAAAATTTTCTGGTTGACAATTGGTTGAGTTTATCTGAAGACCTGGAATCAATAGAAAGGAAATGTCTGGGTGGTGATAAAAGGTTGCGGAGACCAAAGTCTAACCATGCAGATGAAGCCTCCAGGTAGCAGGCTTCAGAGAGAGTAGATTGTAAATGCTTCTTATCAGACTTAAAGGTCTGTGTTGACAGTAATACTGCAAAGGAATAATGAGGCACGTCCAACTCCACATCATGGCCTGAACCAGTCTCTCAGGTTAAATTTTGAAAGCACCCTGGCTGAGGGGAAAGTCCATTCAGATGGTTGGTGGGCCTTAGAATTTTATTTTTGGTCTATACATACGGTAATTTATAAAGCCACTGTTTAGATTATGATAGAGATCGAGTGAAAAATGAGTATTCAAGTTAGGGAACTGTGGTATATAGAGTAAGACCCATTATAATAAGTGTCAGGAGATAAGGACATGCCTGAGTAAGAGATTCACTGAGTTGATGCCTTATATATAACACTCAGTACATAGATGATATGATATTATGCTCCAAATAAAATAACCATGAAGAACAAAAACCATTATAGGCATCATACCTTGTATCAGTTTTCTACTCTTGTATAATCAATTACCACAAACTTTGAAACTTTAAAAGAGCACCAATTTATTAGCTCATACATTTTGTAGGTGAGAAGTCTGGCCAAACTGTGGCTGGATTCTCTGTTCAAGCTCTCAAGGGGCTAAAAACAAAATGTTGGTTATGGCTGAGTTTTTTATCTGGGGCTTAGAATCTTCTTCCAGGTTTATTGGTTATTAGTGAATTCATTTTCCTGTGGTGGAAGGACAAAGGTCCTTTCTCCCCCATAAGCTATTGGTCTGAGACCACTCTCACTTCCTGGAAGCCTCCCAAAGTTCAGAACCACAGGGCCCACATTAGCAATTCACAGTGACTTCCTCATCTAAAATCCTTGGAGAAAACTATGTTTAAAGGGATCACATGATTAGGTCAGACCTACCCAGATAATCTCCTTATCCTAAGGTTAATTTGACATCCTAATTACATTCAGTCAGTTACTTCATAGCAGTACCTACATTAGGATCTAAATGAATAATGAAGAGGTATGTATAGTAGGGGCCAGGAATCTTGTGGGGGGGAGTCTTAGAATTCTGCCTGGTACATAGGTCATTTTAATACACTTCTGTTCAGTAAATGACACATCAAGCACATATAAATTAAGGAGGACCTCTAGTGTAACTTATTTTATTAATAGAGCAATGCCTTTCTTAATTATGAACATAGATGGTCTTACTTTAGCACCGACCTTAGAAAGCTTTTAGTCTTTATTAAAAGGTAGAGAAAAATAAAGTAAAAAAAAAAAAACTAGTCTCTTTTAAGCATCCATTCTCACTAAAAAAAAGTAAAACTTCACCAAACTATTCTTTTTATATAAGTGCTACAAATATGCCAAGAATTGACTCAGTGATTTCATCCAAATGAAAATGAAAATATGGGGTTACCTCAATATGTAATAACTGTTACATTTATGTACAGCAATACAAATTTTTACAAAAAAAAATAGAAAAGATAGGAAAACTTAGAATAACATAATTAACTGAAGCTAATGGACACATATGGGAATTTGTACTGTCAAATCAAAGATGCACATTCTTTTCAAGGATGTGTGCAATATTTACAAAAATCTACATATCAATAAATAGATAAAAGCCACACACATATCAACATTTAAAGGCACCTGCCAAATTACTCATGATAATTAATTAGAATACATTTATAAATACTTGATAATAAAATCATATATATAAATCTTTCAGGCTGCAGATAAAAGATACTTAAATAAAATTTATAGCATGAAGTGCTAATAGTAGAAAAGTATGCTGAAAATTAATTAAGTAAACATCCTACAAAATATGTTGAAGAACAGTATGATTAACTCAAAGGAAGTAGAAAGAAGAAAATAATTAATGAAAGTGCAGAAATAAAAGAGAAAAAATATATAATAGTAAGAATCAAATGAGCCAAAGGGTTCTTCTCTCAAAATAATAATAAAATAGATAAAACTCGGCCAAAAGGGATGAAAAAGGAAGTACAGAAAGCAATATTGTGAATTAAAACAAGGCAAGTATTTGAAAAAAATATAATATTTATTTTAAACAATTGTATGCCAGTAGATTTGTAAAGTTAGATAAAATGGAATTTCTCTTTAGAAAATTAGAATTTTCCAAGACACATTCAAGGTTAAGTGAAATATATGAATTAATCTAGAGTTCCCTCAAAGAATAGAAAAAGTTGGAATATCCTGAATGAAATTTACAAGGTAGCATAAATTTTATAACCAGAGAAGAATTGCCAAATAAAATAAAAAGCAGTGACCCTTATGAATATAGATGCAAAATCCTTAAATAATATAAACGAACTAAATTCACACACACACACACACACACACACACACACACACAACCCCTACGTACAAATTAGAATTATTATAGAATAATATAGAGATGATTTTAACGTTGAATATATTGATGTAAGATTTACCAAATTGGGTTATAAGGGTGCTTTCTCCACTTGATAAAGTCTATCTATCTACAAAGAAAAATGCACTAGATAGCATACACAATTAGGATGATCATATGGAACTAGCTGCATGAAAAAATATGTTAATACCTGGGTCTTGGTGTGATTATTAATTGTACCTTGTGGTAGGGAGAATAGCACCCCATAAAAGGGTCACACCCTAATTACCAGAATTTGTGAATACGTTACATTACATGGTAAAGGAAAATTAAGGTTACAGATAAAATTCAGATGGTTAATCAGCGGCCTTTTTTAAATAGAGAGATAATCCTAGATTATCCAGGTACACCAAATAATAAAAAAGTTCATCCTAAGATGATGTATAAATTTGACTCCATTGCAATTATAATTCCAACAGAGTTTTAAGTGTCTTTAAAATTGAACAAGGAAAACAGAAAAAAAAAGAATCAGAGAGAATATGATTACTAGAAAGTGGTCAGAGAGCTGTAATGTTTATAGCTTTGAAGATGGAGAAAGGAGGCCACAAACCAAGACAGCCTCCAGCAGCTGGAAAAGGCAGGGAAGCCTACAGCCTTCAGAGGCAACACAGCCCTGCCAACAGCTTAATGTTAGTCCTGGGAAACCCATTTTGGACTTCTGAACTCAAGAATGGTAGATAATAAAGTTTTCTTGTTTAAAGTCGCTATGTTCATGCTAATGTGTTACAGCAAAATTAGAAAATCTAATACATACACATTTTCATAAAAGGTCCTGGTATGGGTGATAAATTACATGGTGATCAATAAAATAAATGATGTAATAGTAGTTGCATTCCTTTCAAAATGAGAAACGACGTGATGATAGATACACTCACTGCTTCTCTAAAACATCAAGCTTGGGCTAGTCAGTCAATAAGAGTTGAAAAAGATATAGATAGATAGATAGATAGATAGATAGATAGATAGATAGATATAGAAAGGAATAAAATAGCTTTTTCTTATTTGCAGGAGGATGGCGATTGAGAGCAACCACGTGACAATGCACAAAAAGGCATTATAAATCTTAAGAAGATCTTAAGTAAAGGTTGCTGGATAATACAAAGAAATCAACTACATTCCTATATGTGAGCAACAAAGAGTTAGAAAATGTAATATTAACAATATGTCATTTACAGTAGCCTTCAAACTGTGTGTTATAAAAAAATAAATTTAACAAACGATATGCAAAGCTCTTAGGAAGAAAAACATGAACTTTTCTGAAACAAATTAAAGTCTTCATAAATAATTGAAAACGTATGCATTTGAAGCCTAAATATTGGGGGGAAAAGTTAATTCTTCCCCAAATGACCTATGAAGTCAATGCAATTGTAATGATAATTCCAACAAGTTTTTATGTAATTTAACAAGCTGATTCTAAACTTTATATCAAAGGACAAAGAGCCAAGAAAATTTAAGATAGTTCTAAATTAGACAAATAAAGTGAGCATGCTTGTCCTAAGCAATATAAACATTTATTATAAGGGCATGTTAATTAATATATTAATATGAATATGAGACAACAGACCAAAAAAAAAAAAGAGCAGAAAGCCCAGAAACCAATCTAAACATAGGAAATGTTAACAGATAATGACGGGACTGACATCACTAATCAGTAGGAAAAGGACGGATTCTTCAACATTGGGGTTGGTGGCAAAAAGGTGAAAAAGAAAAGCTTCAATATTTTCAACACAAAATAGAAAATAGTATTATGATTGCAGGCTAAGGAAGGATTTAACATAACATGAAAAATCATAAGCAATATGTAGAAAGCTGAAACTGGATCCCTTCCTTACACCTTATACAAAAATTAATTCAAGATGGATTAAAGACTTAAACATTAGACCTAAAACCACAAAAACGCTAGAAGAAAACCTAGGCATTACCATTCAGGACATAGGCATGGGCAAGGACTTCATGTCTAAAACACCAAAAGCAATGGCAACAAAAGCCAAAATTGACAAATGGGATCTAATTAAACTAAAGAGCTTCTGCACAGCAAAAGAAACTACCACCAGAGTGAACAGGCAACCTACAAAATGGGAGAAAATTTTCACAACCTACTCATCTGACAAAGGGCTAATATCCAGAATCTACAATGAACTCAAACAAATTTACAAGAAAAAAACAAACAAACAACCCCATCAAAAAGTGGGCGAAGGACATGAACAGACACTTCTCAAAAGAAGACATTTATGCAGCCAAAAAACACATGAAAAAATGCTCACCATCACTGGCCATCAGAGAAATGCAAATCAAAACCACAATGAGATACCATCTCACACCAGTTAGAATGGCAATCATTAAAAAGTCAGGAAACAAACAGGTGCTGGAGAGGATGTGGAGAAACAGGAAAACTTTTACACTGTTGGTGGGACTGTAAACTAGTTCAACCATTGTGGAAGACAGTGTGGCGATTCCTCAGGGATCTGGAACTGGAAATACCATTTAACCCAGCCATCCCATTACTGGGTATATACCCAAAGGACTATAAATCATGCTGCTATAAAGACACATGCACACATATGTTTATTGCGGCACTATTCACAATAGCAAAGACTTGGAACCAACCCAAATGTCCAACAATGATAGACTGGATTAAGAAAATGTGGCACATATACACCATGGAATACTATGCAGCCATAAAAATGGTGAGTTCATGTCCTTTGTAGGGACATGGATGAAATTGGAAATCATCATTCTCAGTAAACTATCGCAAGAACAAAAAACCAAACGCCGCATATTCTCACTCATAGGTGGGAATTGAACAATGAAAACACATGGACACAGGAAGGGGAACATCACACTCTGGGGACTGCTGTGGGGTGGGGGGAAGGGGGGAGGGATAGCTTTAGGAGATATACCTAATGCTAAATGACGAGTTAATGGGTGCAGCACACCAGCATGGCACATGTACACATATGTAACTAACCTGCACATTGTGCACATGTACCCTAAAACTTAAAGTGTAATAATAATAAAATAAAAAAAACATAAGCAATAGAGAAAAAACCACTATGTTAAAATAACAATATATGTGTGTCTGAAGACACTATAAAGCATGTCAAAAGACTATCCACAAACATGGAAAAATTATTTTCAATCTACACGGGTCACACAAAGTTAACATCTGCAGTGTATAAAAACTGTTTTCCAAATCAATAATGAAAGGCGTTATTTCTGAGGGCTCTGTTCAGTTCCATTGATCTACATCTCTGTTTTGGTACCAGTACCATGCTGTTTTGGTTACTGTAGCCTTGTCGTATAGTTTGAAGTCAGGTAGTGTGATGCCTCCAGCTTTGTTCTTTTGGCTTAGGATTGACTTGGTGATGCGGGCTCCTTTTTGGTTCCATATGAACTTTAAAATAGTTTTTTCCAATTCTGTGAAGAAAGTCTTTGGTAGCTTGATGGGGATGGCATTGAATCTGTAAATTACCTTGGGCAGTATGGCCATTTTCACGATATTGATTCTTCCTACCCATGAGCATGGAGTGTTCTTCCATTTGTTTGTATCCTCTTTTATTTCCTTGAGCAGTGGTTTGTAGTTGTCCTTGAAGAGGTCCTTCACATCCCTTGTAAGTTGGATTCCTAGGTATTTTATTCTCCTTGAAGCAATTGTGAATGGGAGTTCACTCATGATTTGGCTCTCTGTTTGTCTGTTGTTGGTGTATAAGAATGCTTGTGATTTTTGTACATTGATTTTGTATCCTGAGACTTTGCTGAAGTTGCTTATCAGCTGAAGGAGATTTTGGGCTGAGACAATGGGGTTTTCTAGATATACAATCATGTCATCTGCAAACAGGGACCATTTGACTTCCTCTTTTCCTAATTGAATACCCTTTATTTCCTTCTCCTGCCTAATTGCCCTGGCCAGAACTTCCAACACTATGTTGAATAGGAGTGGTAAGAGAGGGCATCCCTGTCTTGTGCCAGTTTTCAAAGGGAATGCTTCCAGTTTTTGCCCATTCGGTATGATATTGGCTGTGGGTTTGTCATAGATAGCTCTTATTATTTTGAAATACGTCCCATCAATACCTAATTTATTGAGAGTTTTTAGCATGAAGGGTTGTTGAATTTTGTCAAAGGCCTTTTGTGCATCTATTGAGATAATCATGTGGTTTTTGTCTTTGGTTCTGTTTATATGCGGGATTACATTTATTGATTTGCGTATATTGAACCAGCCTTGCATCCCAGGGATGAAGCCCACTCGATCATGGTGGGTAAGCTTTTTGATGTGCTGCTGGATTCGTTTTGCCAGTATTTTATTGAGGATTTTTGCATCAATGTTCATCAAGGATATTGGTCTAAAATTCTCTTTTTTGGTTGTGTGTTTGCCCGGCTTTGGTATCAGGATGATGCTGGCCTCATAAAATGAGTTAGGGAGGATTCCCTCTTTTTCTATTGATTGGAATAGTTTCAGAAGGAATGGTACCAGTTCCTCCTTGTACCTCTGGTAGAATTCGGCTAGGAATCCATCTGGTCCTGGACTCTTTTTGGTTGGTAAGCTATTGATTATTGCCACAATTTCAGATCCTGTTATTGGTCTATTCAGAGATTCAACTACGGCCCCGCCCCGAACACTGTGGCACAAGCTCAGGCCGCAGACGGTGCCGGCCCCGAGGACGACACTGAGGCCTCCCGTGCCGCCGCCCCAGCCGAAGGCCCTCCTGGCGGCATCCAGCCGGAAGCCGCAGAACCAAAACCCACGGCCGAAGCCCCGAAGGCCCCCCGAGTGGAGGAGATCCCTCAGCGCATGACCAGGAACCGGGCGCAGATGCTCGCGAACCAGAGCAAGCAGGGCCCGCCCCCCTCCGAGAAGGAGTGCGCCCCCACCCCTGCCCCGGTCACCAGGGCCAAGGCCCGCGGCTCCGAGGACGACGACGCCCAGGCCCAGCATCCGCGCAAACGCCGCTTTCAGCGCTCCACCCAGCAGCTGCAGCAGCAGCTGAACACGTCCACGCAGCAGACGAGGGAGGTGATCCAGCAGACGCTGGCCGCCATCGTGGACGCCATCAAGCTGGATGCCATCGAGCCCTACCACAGCGACAGGGCCAACCCCTACTTCGAATACCTGCAGATCAGGAAGAAGATCGAGGAGAAGCGCAAGATCCTGTGCTGTATCACGCCGCAGGCGCCCCAGTGGTACGCCCAGTACGTCACCTACACGGGCTCCTACCTCCTGGACGGCAAGCCGCTCAGCAAGCTCCACATCCCCGTGATCGCACCCCCTCCCTCCCTGGCGGAGCCCCTGAAGGAGCTGTTCAGGCAGCAGGAGGCCGTCCGGGGAAAGCTGCGTCTACAGCACAGCATCGAGAGGGAGAAGCTGATCGTATCCTGTGAGCAGGAGATTCTGCGGGTTCACTGCCGGGCGGCCAGGACCATCGCCAACCAGGCAGTGCCATTCAGCACCTGCACGATGCTGCTGGACTCCGAGGTCTACAACATGCCCCTGGAGAGCCAGGGTGACGAGAACAAGTCAGTGCGCGACCGTTTCAACGCCCGCCAGTTCATCTCCTGGCTCCAGGACGTGGATGACAAGTATGACCGCATGAAGACTTGCCTCCTCATGCGGCAGCAGCACGAGGCCGCGGCCCTGAACGCCGTGCAGAGGATGGAGTGGCAGCTGAAGGTGCAGGAACTGGACCCCGCCGGGCACAAGTCCCTGTGCGTGAACGAGGTGCCCTCCTTCTACGTGCCCATGGTCGACGTCAACGACGACTTTGTATTGTTGCCGGCATGACACCGCGGGACGGCCGCAGGACGCAGGCGAGGGCCGCACGGCTGCCCAGGACTGCTGCTGAGCCCCAGGGGCGGAGGAGGGAGCGCCCTGTCCACCCGGGCGGGGAGAGACCCCGAGAGAGACTGCACTTGGCCACAGCGCCTCCATCCCTTCCAGACTGGTCCAGACGTCGGGGAGGTGAAACACGTCTCTTCTCTACCAGCTGCCGCGGCGGGGGCAAAGCCCCCAGAGCCTCACTGGCCCCGGCGGGATGAGGAGACCATGCCGGGCGCGCACACACGGCAGCTTCTGTTTGAAAACGGCGACCTTCGGGCCCTTTTCTCCAGCAACTGCAGAGGCATTTCAGGAGTTGGAGAACGGAGTACATTTTTAAAATTTTTTGTTCCATTCTGATCAACTAAAGAAAATTAAGGTGTCCACCTCTCACAAACAGTGACCTGCAGGTCGGAGGGGCAGGAGCCCCATCCCAGCCGTGGTTCTGTTGCCGCCGAGCTGCGACGGCCTCAGACTGGGCTTCAGACCTGGTGCGGAGCGAGGCGGAGGGACACAGAGCCAGGACTCCCAGCCGTATTGAAATGGAGTCAAATCCGCGTGGTTTGTATCTTCTTTCCTTTAATCTTGGGCATTTTGTTTCTCTTTCTGAGAACGTAACTTGAAACACTACAGAGCCAATAATCATATAAAAAGTGTATCCGTAAACGCTGTACAGTTTTATATACCTTCACAATGTACTTTTGCTGCCTTCTAGATAATTTATTTTGCAACACATTACTGCACAGTTGTAAATAACTTATGTACTGTAACATCACTTTCATTTATGTGTAAAGAAATAAATAAATTAATTAAAAAAAAAAAAGAGATTCAACTTCTTCCTGGTTTAGTCTCGGGAGGGTGTATGTGTCGAGAAATTCATCCATTTCTTCTAGATTTTCTACTTTATTTGCGTAGAGGTGTTTGTAGTATTCTCTGATGGTAGTTTGTATTTCTGTGGGATCGGTGGTGATATCTCCTTTATCATTTTTTATTGCGTCTATTTGATTCTTCTCTCTTTTCTTCTTTATTCGTCTTGCTAGCAGTCTATCTATTTTGTTGATCCTTTCAGAAAACCAGCTCCTGGATTCATTAATTTTTTGAAGGGTTTTTTGTGTCTCTATTTCCTTCAGTTCTGCTCTGATTTTAGTTATTTCTTGCCTTCTGCTAGCTTTTGAATGCGTTTGCTCTTGCTTTTCTAGTTCTTTTAATTGTGATGTTAGGGTGTCAATTTTGGATCTTTCCTGCTTTCTCTTGTGGGCATTTAGTGCTATAAATTTCCCTCTACACACTGCTTTGAATGTGTCCCAGAGATTCTGGTATGTTGTGTGTTTGTTCTCGTTGGTTTCAAAGAACATCTTTATTTCTGCCTTCATTTCGTTATGTACCCAGTAGTCATTCAGGAGCAGGTTGTTCAGTTTCCATGTAGTTGAGTGGTTTTGAGTGAGATTCTTAATCCTGAGTTCTAGTTTGATTGCACTGTGGTCTGAGAGATAGTTTGTTATAATTTCTGTTCTTTTACATTTGCTGAGGAGAGCTTTACTTCCAGGTATGTGGTCAATTTTGGAATAGGTGTGGTGTGGTGCTGAAAAAAATGTATATTCTGTTGATTTGGGGTGGAGAGTTCTGTAGATGTCTATTAGGTCCTAATACCGAAGCTGGAAATTCACTAAAGAATAAACTTGAGGAGCCAAGAAACATGAAAAACTGCTCAATTGGCCAGGCATGGTGGCTCACGCCTATAATCCCAGCACTTTGGGAGACCAAGGCAGGTGCGTCACCTGAGGTCAGGAGTTCAAGACCAGCCTGACCAACATGGAGAAACCCTGTCTCTACTAAAAATACAAAATTAGCCGGGTGTGGTGGTGCATGCCTCTAATCCCAGCTACTCGGGAGGCTGAGGCAGGAGAATCGCTTGAACCCTTGAGGCGGAGGTTGCGGTGAGCCGAGATCATGCCATTGCACTCCAGCCTGGGCAACAAGAGGAAACCCCATCTCAAAAAAAAAGAAAAAAAAAAAAAGAAACGAAAAACTGCTGAATCACACTAGTAATCAATGAATTATAAACTAAACAACACTGGACCATATCGTATATGTTTTATTGGTCAAATTTAAGTAGCCTTTACAATACCACATATTGGAAAGGTTGTAGAGCAATGGAAACTACAATAGGTATGCAAGAAAACAATAGTATACATTATTTATTAAAATGCATGAGTGGCAAATTCCATATTTAAAATAATATGACTTGAAAAGGCTACATGACATTCTTCTACTACATTTGTAATGTTTTATTTTTTCAGGTGGATAGGTGTTGGGTAAACAGCAATTTCTTATATTTTTCTTTAAAATATTTCATGTGGTTGTTAATAGATCATAATTAAAAATGTAAGCATATCGGTAAAAGTTAACTTGGACTATCTCATGTATTTTTAATGGGGCATGTAGATACCTGTATATGAACAGTAAATTGAAATGTGTACAATCTTCTTAATAAACTAAAAGGAATTTTTAAATGTTTTATCCACAAAAGAGTAAAATATTAACTATAGTCAAGTATTATCATTCAAGGGGAGCAGGACTAGCTTACACAATGTTTTCTTTTTCCCAAAAGAGAAAGAATTCGTAACTACAATAGCAAATAGAGGCACGGGTTTTACATTACTTAAGTAAAAACTTTAGTAAAAGAGAAAACAAATATTTGGAAGAAACTTTTTCAGAATAAAAAAATGCTCAAGTTAATTCCTGTTGTGACTGATTTCCCATTTATGCATGACAAGCAAAATGTTAAATGATGTTTTTCGGAAATTATCATTTTGGAATGAAATATGTATTTATTTCAAAATGATAGTTTTAAGCAAATGTCCTCAAGTTTGACAAGAAATGAGTCATTGGTACATAGTCCTTTTAAAATGTCTGTCAAAAAAAGAACAGTTTGTATTGCCTTCTAGCAATTAAAAATCCACACTTTATCACTTAAGTTCCCATCCTGCTTTAATTATATACACCTCCCAGATCAGCAACTTGTGGATAAATGCAAGTAAGATAATATTTGGATGGCATGATGGCTAGTCCTAAAATTAGAATAAGGGTAAAATGAATTCAAGGTCGAAACCTTCCAGTAACAGATACTTGGAAATATTGGTCTCTCTGGGGTTCATCCAAAATGGTGCGTGGGTTCTTTGTTACGTGTTTGCAATAATTGAGTTTCCTTCACTTTGGTAGTTCTCAAATTTATTTTACCCACAGAATCTTATACTTCAGAGGTCAGCAAACTTTTCCAGTAATGGGTAAACATTAAATGTTTCCAGCTTTAATAATCACACAATATCTGTTGCCACCAGCACACCCACTGTAGCAGGAACATAGCCATAGGCAATATGTAAACTAATGAGCGTGGCTGTGCTCAATAAAACTTCGCAGTGGAGTGCCATAGAATGACATTTCTGTCAACAACAGATCACATATACAATGGTGGTCACATAAGATTGAAATGAAGCTGAAAAATTCCTACCACCTAGTGACATTGTAGCTTAATGAATTACTAACATGTTCCTGGTGATACTAGTGTTACAGGAAATAGAAAGAATTTATTCAGGTACACAGAGTAAAGCGAGTCCCTGGCAGAAAACTTTCCTTCTAAGAAAAAGCAGCTCAGAAATAGTTCCCGTTCTAACCTCATGCAGTTCAAAGAAATCACTTCTCTTCTAACAAAGGGCAGCCTGAAAGATCAGGCTGTAAATCACAGATAAGCCAGCACTCTAGCACAGAAGGAGAGGGGCAGTCTCCTGGATAACCACCAAACTTCACACTCAAACAAGGGGCCCCAGTAGAAACAGTGGGCCTTAATAAGCACATTTCTTTCTTTAGGCACACTAAGATAGAGAAGCTAGAAGTGGACGTTGGGGGCCGGGGGGATGCCTGTAGCTGCAAGAAGATGTCTGGGAACAGAAACTCTCCCTCCCAGATAAGTGACACAAAGCAGAACAGAGCCGCACAGACTAAGATTCTGCCTATGTGGTCAGGGAATGGGGTGAGAGCTGATTAAAAACAAACAAACAAACAAACAAACAAACAACAAACAAACGAACACCTCTTCTCTATACAGATAGCACACCCGGTCCCAACTAAACTGTTGGGCCCTCGGAGGATAAGACATCCCCTCCTCACTAGCCCCCTCCTCTCTAGCCCATTTATAAAAACCCTGACATTTTTACTACCGCCTGACAACCCGCTAGGGACCCCTCTCTGTGACAGAGAGCTGTTCTTTCCTTTTGCCTATTAAACTCCTGCTCCAAGCTTGCTGTGTGTGTGTGTGTGTGTGCGTGTGTGTTTGTGTGTGTGTGTGTGTCTGCAACCTCCATCTCCTTGGCCGTGAGAACAAGAACCTTAGTATTTACCCTCGACAACAAAGCTGCTTCACTGGTGTAAACAAAACTGCACTGCCAGTTGCATAAATGTATAGCACATACAATTATGTACAGTACCTAATACTTGATAATGATAATAAATGACTATGTTACTGGCTTACGTATTTACTATACGTTTATTTGTTATTTTAGAGTGTACTCCTTGTACCTATAAAAGAATATTTACTGTAAAATAGTATGCCGTGTTAAACCGGCAGCAGCCACAGACAGCCTTGTCTTTACTGTGTCTCTTGATTGCATCATTTTCGTTGGTCCTTGATTCTCAAGTGTTTTGTTTATCACGGTTCCTAAGCATTCAAAATCCACAGTTAATGTGGTAAGAGGTCACGTCGATAACAAAATGTAAAGTGATTAAGGACCTCCAAAGGTACAAAATCAGTGATGGTTATTGCTGGCCAGACAGGTATGTCCCATTCCACCGTAGCTACAACCTTGAAGAACAAGAACAAAGTGACAGAAATTGTTAAAGTGTCTGCTTCATCGAAGGTGACGAGACCAACAAGTTTGAGAAATGCCTACATCAGATATGAAGAAACTTCTAATGACCTGGATTGAAAACCAGACACAGAAACATAGCTCTCTCAGCACCATAAAGACTACAGTTAAAGCAAAAGGGTTATTTATAATGTTGAAAGAAAAGCCTGGATCCAACTGTAATATTGAATGTACTGGTATTTCTGGGTAGTTTAAATAATTCAAGAATCTTTATCCATTACATAATATAAAAGTGACTGGTGAGTCTTTGAGGGCTGACATGAAGGCAGCTGAAGAATTTTTGGAAACTCTAGATGAGTCGTAGATAAAAAATACTTGCTAGAGCAAATCTTCAATGTAGATGAAACCTCCCTATTCTGGAAATAGATGCCTGAAAGGACTTTCTGTCATAAAGGGGTCAAGTCAATGCCAAGTTTTAAGGGTTTTAAGGACAGGATACAGTCTTGCTTTGGGGCAATGTTGCAGGCTACAAAATGAAACCCTTTGTGATCTGACACAGTGAGAAACCCAGGGCATTCAAGCATACCAATAAGCACACATGGCCAGTGTACTACAGGAGCAATAAGAAGTCACAGATTATGCATCTCCTCTTCCAGGAAGCCCTCATGAGTTGCTGTGCCAGAGAAAAATGTACTGTTAGGAGAATAACATACCTTTCAAGATTTTGCTTGTTGTTGATAATGCTCCTGCACATCTTCCTTTTACTGATCATCTTCATCCCAACATCAAAGTGCTGATTGTCTCTCTAAACACCACCTCTTTGATCCAATGCATCAAGGAATTTCAGCAGTTTTTAAAGGACTACTACCAGAGAAGGACCTACACCCAGGCTATCACTGCAACTGAGGAAGACACTCATGCAATTCTGGAAGGATTATAACATCCAAGATGTATCAAAAACCTTGCTTGGAATTGAAGAGATGTCAGCAAGGAATGTAGAAATGGCATCTGGACGAAGACACTCAAGAAGCTCATTAATGACTTCAAATAATTTGTCAAGGATGAGGAGGTTGTAACAATTGACAAGGCCGTGGTTGAGATGACAAACAGCTTTAACCTGGATGTGGACGAATGAGACATTGAGTAGCGCCTAGAGGTGGTGCCTGAGAAATTGAGTAATGAGGAGTTGTAGAATGGGAAAAGAAATGCATAGTTGAAGAAGAGGCAAGAGAAAAGGAGACTGCAGGAGAAGGAAAATAGCCCCCAAGAAAATTCATAGAAAAGGGTTTGGCAAAAGACTTTGCAGGCCTCAATAAGCTCCTTAAAGAGTTTAAAAACATGGACCCCAACACTGAAAGGTTTTCATTTAATAAAGAGGAATCCTCATGCTGCATTATCTGCTTACAAACAACTCTATGAAAACAAGTAAAATAAATCAAGCAAACCACCATGGACATATATTTCTGAAAAGAATGTCATCTCCTTAAGAAGAGCTTCAGGAGGTATTCCAGAAGAAGACATTGTTATCATAGGAGATGACAGCTCCATGCCTGTTATTGCCCCTGAGGACCTTCCAGTGGGACAAAATGTGGAGGTAGAAAATAGTGGTATAGATGACCCTAACCTGCCATAGGCCGAAGCTAATATGTGTGTTTAGTTTTCAACAAAACAGTTTAAAAAGTAAAAAATAAAAATAGAGAATATAGAATAAGGACATAAAGAAAGACAACATTTTGTACAACTGTAAAATGTGCTTCTGTTTTTAGCTAAGTGTTATTGCAAAAGAGTCAACGAGTTTATAAAGTAAAACAGTTACAGTAATCTAAGGTTGATTTATTATCGTAGAAGGAAAAATACTTTTTTGTGAATGTAGCGCAGCTTAAGTGTATGGTGTTCATAAAGTCTACAGTAGTAGAATGTCCTAGGCCTTCCCATTCACGTTCACTCACCACTCACTCACTGACTCACACACACAGGGCAACTTCTTGTCCTGCAAGCTTCACTCATGGTAAGTACCTTCTACAGGTGTACCATTTTTATCTATTACACTGCATTTTTACTTTACCTTTTTGTGTTTATAAATGTTTACATACACAAATATTTCTCACTGTGTTCCAATAGCCTACAGTATTCAGTGCAGCGATATGCTGTACAGGTTTATAGCCTAGAAGCAATAGGCTATACCATCGAACCTAAGTGTATAGTAGGCTATACCATGTAGGTGTGTGTAAGTATACTCTATGATGTTTGCACAATAGCAAACTCGCCTAACCTCACATTTCTCAGAATGTATCCCGTTTGCTAAGCGACGAATGACTGTATTTATAGCAACAGGTGATGGGTCAGGTGGTAGCTTGTCAACACTTTTTTAATTCAAGTGAAATCTTACATCAAATCCCAATTTGATGTAAGTTATGAAATACAGTGTAAGACCATAGGTAGGTAGGAAATACCACATTACTGTCTTCCAACCACCTTCCAAATCAAAATGTCTATAACTCCAATTGTTGGCAAGTGTTTTCTGAGTAATTCTGAAGCTTATCCCTCTCCTTTTCTAGAATCATATGTACAAGCAAAACAAGGTGGTGGCTTGAAACAATTGGGCCCCATTGTTCATATGTCATCTGTGTTGACCTGTTCCCACCAAAACCTCCATTAATACTGTGTACAGGGTCCCTTCCGTCCTGACTTCCATGCTACTTGACTCCATGGTCAAAGCATAGATATTGGTGGAAATAACGTGAACCTCCATAAGTGCACCATGCAGACATTATTCGCTATAGCTTGCCATATATCTAGGGTGCTTCTAGGATTCTGAACCAAGGTTTCACTGCAAGCAGGACAGATCTTTGTGCTTTTTACCAACTTTTGAGAATCTGTCCTTTCATCCACGGTACTTTCAGTATCATTCTCTGGTGTCCTCCCTTTTCTCCAGCAAAAGTTCTGCAAATGGTTCAGGGTTTTATATAAGAAAAGAATCAGGGCTTCAAGCTGTTTCTGCCTACATTACTGAGGAAACTTGATTGAAACGTAAATCCAATATATAGGAGTGCCACAATAATGTACTACTTTAATAAATTATGATGCACAACATAAAATATGGAAATGGAACTGCCGGAGTTGAAGTATCCTGAGGGTCTGGATTGCTGATCCTGCCAATACAGAGGTTCCTAGATGTATTAACTATAAATTGATGTATATGTAATTGCCACAAACGTAGTGGTTTCAAACAACACCCCTGTATTAGTTAACAGTTCTGTGTGCCAGAACTCTAAGCGCAGTGTCTCTGTGTTCTCTGCTCGGGTTTACATGGCTGAAATCAAGATACTAGCAGGGCTGTTTTACTTTCTGGATGCTCTAAAGGAGAATCGACTTCCAAGTTTATTCAGCTCATTGGAAAAATTGAGTTCCTTGTGACCGTAGGACTTACATCCCTATATTCTTGCTGGCTGTCAGCCAGAGGCCACTCTCAACGTATAGAGTTGAGACTTAAGAATAATACTGTGCTTTATTCCAGGAGAGCAAGAGGGGTCTCTCTGACATCTCTCGCCCTGTGATTTCTAAGACCCAGATTTAAAGGGCTCAAGTGTTTAAGTCAGTCTTTCTAAATAACCTCACATTCTTAAAATTTATTGTTCCATATAACATAACCTAAATAAGAGGAAAGGCAAATCACCATAGACAGTTTTAAGGATTACGCGGGGCATTACATGGGGGGATGAAAATCTTGGCAGGCGTTATAGAACTCTGCCTGTCTCACTAGGGCACATACTAGGAACCCTAGATTCTCATATCCCAGCTTGAAAATCTCTCCCTGACTTGATCATAGATCATTTCCGAAAAGAGTTCTAATTTGTCCAGTATAATAAATGTTACTTTTCTCTCATGCCTATTTTGTTCACGTTCACTTGTCATTATTATCTTTTATTAATCCTCAAAAAGAGCATCAAGTTAAAAAATATATTCCTCCAGGATTTCTTAAAGTTTAAATTTCTTCCTAGTTTACTAAAAGCAGCATCTCCTCTATTATATTCCTCATCATTAGAAATACTTGGAGTAAATTGTACATCCTAAATATGTTTAGAATGATTTTATAAGTCTGATGTTTTCTCTAAGCACGGTGCCTCTGTGCTTCCTCCTTCTTCCACCTTTCTGTAGGTGGAATAAATACACTCCATTAAAACACCATGTATATTAAGGGTACACTTTTTCTTTCCCCATTCAATTTTCTTTTTTACTTCATTATTCATTTATTCAAAGTTTTGAGGCTAGAGATGTAACTTCTTGAGATAAAGAGGAAGTAGGTATCAATATAGGGATAATGTGTATAGTAAAAGAGGGCCATAAATGGAACTCTCAGATGCACCAGTATTGAGAAGATGTTGAAGAAAAGGGGACCCACATAAAATCATTCTAAAAATTGGCTACGAGCAAGTGAAAGAAATGTTAAGGAAGCCACATATCAACATCAAATGCAAAAGAGAGGTAAACTATTGATCAGGAGCGACAACTTAGAAGGACAATAGTATCTTCAAAGTATCTGCCAGAGTTATGAAAACAGTTGACACCCTAGGTATTCTGAGTAAAAGGAGCTTTCACGCAGATAATTATAAGCTTATATAATTACTGGAAGCCTGAGGGGGAATGTCATTGAGAGCCATGGCTAATTTTCAGGAAATTTGGAAGAATAGGGATTACAGAAAGCTTGCCACCAGTACCTTCAGCCGCCTTCAACTCTCAAGAAAATGATCTGCAGGCGGCCAGTATCCAAGCCTCTGCCCAAAGATGCCACCTGAGAATAATGCCTTATCTTTCTTGTCCAACTTCCAAATCTCATGTGAATGGCTCAAAGAAAGACAGCAGTGAAAAATCATGGAGGCAAAGGACCCTGGGAAAGGCAGTTCCCTAGTGATGCAGAGAAGAATGTAAAGGGTGCAGTCAAGTTGCCTAGTGGCAAAAGACATTCCAGTAAACTCAATGAGAGTGCTAACATTTTTGAGCACCTTACAAATGCTAGCTTTCCATTAAACACTTTACATGCAGTATCTCCTTTAAACCGAGGTAGGTATTCTTATTATTCTAATTGCACAGATAGGAAATCTGAAACTCAGCAGCTTAAGTTCATTCAAGGTTCCATGGCTAACAAATGAAAGAACTGTGTTAGGAATTCAACCAAGTCCACCTGTCTTTAAAACACACATACATTCCAACTGATTATACACATCATATCCAATCAGATAAAAGACAATTTACAAATTTACCTGAAATGGTGAAAATTTCTACCATCAAAAATTCAACACTATGTAATTATTGAAGATATCTCGAACAATAATATGCGCTCCACTTTGAATGTGTGTATTCTTGATTAGTACAAGCTTGAACATTAAATCCTTGTAAATGACAAGTGCACTCTTATAGGCCGTGCATGTTCAGCCTACCCCACAGCTCTGACCTTGGCAGTCATGTGACTATCCTGGAAGGGTACGCCTTCTAAGGTACCCCAATACCTGCTTTCCCAGGGATCAGTTAACTTCTCAAAAAGATAATTTTAGCAAGGTACGCATTTTGTTACTAGCTTGTTATTTAATCAGTCAGTAAAAAATCAGGATTGATTTCAATTTTCACAGTCTATATTGTGACCTCACCAAGATAAATATATCTCTAGTTTTTCCAATTAGGTTAAATTTATAAATTGGAATAGATTGTGTATATGCAACATGGCCACATTACATTAATTAGGTCATCAGCCCAAGGTCCCTTATTAAATTTTTTTGCTTATATTAATATATACAAAACACTGTTACTTTTGCTGCTATAATTCTCAAAGCATCAACCCATTTGCATATCATGATAATTTTGATTATTTAATGGCTTGCTTTTTAATACAGTTTTAATGAAACAGGAAACTTTAATTCCAATTTAAATTGTGCAAATCATAGCTAAAACTGTATTTAGTCAGATTTTATTTTTTTAAATAAATACCATTCAATTGCCATAAGATATGAACTATGATTATGTTTAATTTCCTCACTGGCTTCTTCAGAGTATATATTCTGATTGATACCACCAATTTACTATTATTACTTTGAATAATATTTAAAGTTCTGTTGATTTATGTAGGAGATCAAAATTATATAACTGCAAAATTATTTAAACTGAATTTTAAGGATTAGAGAAACTATCAGAATCAGAAAAATCCTTCAATTAACACAAAAATGAAATCAACATTGAATTAGACATATTGACTGAAACCCCAGAGAACGAGCTGAGAACCTGAGCAGCCATATGAATTTAATTGCAAGATACAATGTTAATGTATACAAAAGTAAATCATCATATAGGACCCAATGAAACATTAAAGTGCATTAGGTTTTATTTGATAATTACAAATGATTTCACTTCATTGAACTTTCAAACTAATTTTGTTAATTTTAACTTAATATTGCTTTGTATGTGTGGTACATCTTCCAAATCTCCTTTATTCTGGCTAATTCAGCATGTCTTTGCTGCCTAAGAAATTCAACAGCTCTATCTAAAGAGAAAAATGTGTGTATGTGAAATTCCCAATGAGTACAATTTACATAATGAGGGACAATCACATTGAGCAATTTCTTCCTAGGGAAATGATTTGAGAATTTCTTGGAAAAATCCAATAACTTTTAAAACCTTCAATGTATCACGATCTAGGCATGTAAAGAAATAACAATTTAAAAATGCATCCTAGTTATTTTTCAACCTCAAACCCAGTCAAATATACATTTGGCTATGAAATTTAGAATTCCTGCAAACGCTAGTAACCTTTAAGTATCTGTTTTCTATGTATTCATACTAATATAAAGAAAAACTAGACTTATGATATTTGGAGAGATAATGCACATATATGGGAAATGAGTTTCATTTACGAGAATTCCTGACAATCTCTTTTTTTGTGGATTACTGTCTTGACTAAGTCTTTGATCAAAGAATGAAAACCTGCATCTTGCATTTTTCTCCATCAAAAATAATTATTATGAAGTGGGACTTTTTAATTTTAATTCATTTGTTTGCTAATTTCTCTGTTGTGCAATCCCTATTAATTATTTTTTATGTTGAATTCCCCATACCCAATTATTCTAACAAGATTCATATATGAACATAACTGTCATACCCTCAGCCCACTCTCCCCACTTCGTTTCAGTAATTATTAATAAGATAAATGTAAACAAATTTCCTGTATGACCAAATCTGCAGTCAGTCTTTATTTTTCATGTATTGTATGAGGAGATTCATTAAAATACTTAATTTAAAGATTTAATTCAGTACTGCCATTTCTGAACAAGCCAGGTATTTTCTCACCTTTGGGTTTTTCGCTTGTTTTTTTGCTATGCATAGAGGTTCTTTTCCACAGTTCATACCTTCAAGTTTTACTTAAAGGCAACCTCATCAGTGATGCCTACACTGTAGTCCCCCCACTTTATACTCCCTCTTCTCAACACTCCCGACATCTCTCACCCTACTCTTTTTCTTTCTCTAATACGTAAGTCCAAAATGGTAGTGATTTTTGTCCATATTATTTGCCAACGTATCATTACAACCTAAAACAATGTCTGACACAAAGTATTTGCTCAGTAAATATTTGTTGTAAGATGATTTCTGCACTGAAAGTGTGGTCTGAGATATCTATGAATACCCATGTGATATGGTTTGGATCTGCGCTCCTACCCAAATCTCATGTTGAAATGTAATCCCCAATTCTGGAGGTGGGGCCTGGTGGGAGGTGATTGGATCATGGGGGTGGTTTCTAATGGTTTAACACCGTCCCCCTAGTGCTGTTCTTGTGATAAGTTCTCACGAGATCTGGTTGTTTAAAAGCGTGTAGCACCTCTGACTCTCTCTCTTCCACCTGCTCCCGCTATGTGAAGATGCTCACTCAGACTTTGCATTCTGCCATGAATAAAAGCTCCCATGCTTCCTGTACAGCCTGTGGAACTGTGAGCCAATTAAACTTATTGTCTTTATAAATTACCCAGTTTCAGGTACTTATTTATAGAAGTGCAAGAATGGCCTAATACAGCAAATTGGTACCGATGAGTGGGGCATTGCTATAAAGATATCCAAAAATGTGGGAGCAACTTTGGAATTGGGTAAGGGGCAGAGGTTAGAAGAGCATGGAGCACTCAGAAAAAGACAGAAAGTTGAGGGAAATTTTTGAACTTGCTAGAGACTCGTTAAATTGTTGTGAGCAAAATGCTGATAGTGATATGAACAACGAAGTCCAGACTGAGGAGGTATCAGAGGGAATTAAGGAACTTACTAGGAATGGTAGCAAAGGTCACTTTTGTTATGCTTTAGCAAAGAACTTGGAGGCATTGTGTCCCTGCCTTACGAATCTGTGGAACTTTGAACTTGACAGTAATAATTTAGGGTATCTGGGAGAAAATAGTTCCAAACCTTATATTTGATGAAAGGTTAATATTTAAAATATATAGGGAATGAAGTGGCAAAAGAAATCCCCCAAAATACAAGAAAAGCACCAAATAACCCAATTAAAAATGAGTAAAGGATTCAAATGGAAATTTTCCCAAATAAAACATGCAATGGCCAACAGGTATGTGAAAAGATGCTTAACATTATTTACCATCAGGGAAATGCAAATCAAAATCATACCTGTTAGGATGGCAATTATCAAAAACCTGAGAGAACAAGTGATGGTGAGGGTGAGGAGAAAAGGAAACCCTTGTTTGTACAACGGGGGAAAGGAAAGTCTCTTTAATAAATAGTGCTGGGAACACTGGACATCTATATGCAAAATAATGAAATTAGACTATTGTCTTACAACATATACAAAAGTTAACTTGAAATGGACCTCATAAGATCTGCTTGTTTAAAAGTGTGTAGCACTTACCGCTACCCCTTCTTCCTGCTCTGGCCATATAAAGATCCTGCTCCAATTTTGCCTTCTGCCATGAGTAAAAGCTCCCTGAGACCCCCATCCCTCAGCCATGCTTTCTGTGCAGCCTGCAAAGCTGTGAGCCAATTAAATCTCTTTTATTTACAATTACCCAGTTTTAGGTATTTCTTTACAGCAGTGTGAAAATGGACAAAAAAACCATACACCGCATGTTCGCACTCATAGGCGGGAATTGAACAATGAGAACACATGGACACAGGAAGGGGAACATCACACACCGGGGGCCTGTTGTGGGGTGGGGGGAGGGGGGAGGGATAGCATTAGGAGATATACCTAATGCTAAATGCCAAGTTACTGGGTGCAGCACACCAACATGGCACATGTATACATACGTAACTAACCTGCACGTTGTGCACATGTACCCTAAAACTTAAAGTATAATAAAAAAAAATAGAAAAAAAAAGAAAATCTAGCTTCATACAGATATATGGTTGGAAAGGGAATCTTTTAATAGCCTTTTCAGATAAGTGTAGATATTTTCTTTTGTTCTAGATCAAAACTCACTAAATGATAAATTTCTATAATCATATTAATGACTTTTTCATACTATAATACATTAAATCTACTGACCTACTTTGCAAAAAAAAAAAAAGAAAATGGACTGATATACTATGAATACACAATAGACATCATATTTAATAATTCCTTATGGTCAACAATGGTTACAATTGCCAATTACATAAAATCTGTAGTTTAGTCAATTTTTTTTCTACTTCAGTTAAATGAAAATTAACTCTGAGGCATTTCTTTATGATAGTGTCCCAGGTTAAAAATTATTCCTCCACCTTTACCAGCCAATCAGTTAGTTTCCAAACAATTCCCTTTAGGCACCTAAACTACTTAAGCCCTACAAAAGCACTTCATTAAGCTTGAGAAGATAAAATATCATTATGCATAACAGTTTCTTTTTTATTTCCATGTACCTAATGTACTGATGCTAATACTACAATATATCCCCCTTTGGTACATAATATATGTTATAAATGCACAGGTCTGGCATAATGTGCAACAAAGACAACCAGAAAACTATATTATTACAGAAATCAATAAATAATAGAATATAACAATGTTATAAACCATGCAAAATTGAATTTATAGGAAAGAAATATAAATCTCTTGTACTAAAATAAATAGGTATTATTTAGCCTTAAAAAGGAAATTTTTACACATGCTACAACATGGATGAACCTTGAGAGCATTATATTTAGTGAAACAAGCCAGTCACTAAAAGACAACATGATTCAAATTATATGAGATACTTACAGTAGTCAAAATTATAAAGACAGAAAGTAGAATGGTGGTTGTCAGCAGCTGGAGGAAGAGGGCAAAGGGGAGCTAGTTTTTAATGGTTATAGTGTTTCCGTTTTGATAGAGAAAAGAGGTTGTGGATATGGATGGTGGTTATGGTTGCAAAACATTATGAGTGTATTTAATACTACTGAAGTGAACTCTACACTTAAAATAGTAAATTTTATATTATGTGTATTTTACTACAATTTTTAAAATTAGGAAAAAAATACACTCCGATACCTAAAAAAATGAATGAAGAACTAAATACCAAAAGATAAATGCAATTCTTATCAAAATTCCAATGGCACTTTTCACAGGAATAGATAAAACAATCCTAAATCTGTACGGAACCATAAAAGATGTTAAATAGCTAAAGGAATCTTGAGAAAGAAGAACAAAGCTGGAGGCCTTACACGGGTTGCCTTCAAAATACATTACAAAGTACTAGTAATGGAAACAGAATGGTACTGGCATAAAAATAGGGAGATTCATCAATGGAAAAGCACAGAGAGCCCAGAAATTAACTTATACATGTATGGTCAAATAATGTTTGACAAGAGGCCTAAGAACACACAATGGGGGAAAGGAAAGTCTCTTTAATAAATGTTCCTGGAAAAACTGGACATCTATATGCAAAGGAATGAAATTAGACTATTGTCTTACAACACATACAAAAGTTAACTTGAAATGATTTAAAAATTTAGATGTAAGAGCTGAATCCATAAACCTCCTAGAAGAAAATGTGGTAGAAAATCTCCTTAACATTGGTCTTGGTAATGATTTTTTGAATATTACATCAAAAACACAGCAATAAAAGCAAAAAGAAACAAGTAGGACTATGTCAAACTAAATACCTCTGCATAACAAAGGAAACAACCAACAAAATAAAAATGCATCCTACGAAATGGGAGAAAATAGTTGCAAACCTTGTATCTGATGAACGGTTAATGTTTAAAATATATAGGGAACTAAAGGGCAAAAGAAACCACCCAAAATACAAAAAAAGCACTAAATAATCCAAGTAAAAATGAGTAAAAGATTCAGATGGAAATTTTCCCAAAGAAAACATGCAATGGCCAACCGGTATGTGAAAAGATGCTTAACATTATTTGTCATCAGGGAAATGCAAATCAAAATCGTACCTGTTAGGATGGCAATGATCAAAAACCTGAGAGAACAAGCGATAGTGAGGGTGTGGAGAAAAGGAAACCCTTGTACACTGTTAATTAGAATGTAAATTAGTACAGCCATTATGGAAAATACTATGGAGGTTTCTCAAAAAAAATAAAAATAGACATACCATAAAATCAAGCAATCCCACATCTAGGCATATTTCCAAAGGAAATGAGATCAGTATCCGGAAGAGATATCTGTATTCCAATGTTCATTGCAGCATTATTCACAATAACTAAGATATAAAATGTAAACAATGTAAGTGTCTCTCAATAGGTGAATGAATAAAGAAAATATTAGATAGAGATATAGACAGGTAGATATACAGATGAATACTGTTCAACCAATAAAAGAAATTCTGCAAATTGTGACAACATCAATGAACCTGGACAACATTATACTAATTGAAATAAGGCAATCACAGAGACAGATACTATGTGATCTCACTTGTATGTGGAATCTAAACACTTTGAACTAAGAAGCAAAGAGTAGAATCCTGGTTGCCAGGGTCTGGAGATGGAGAAATGGGGAGATGTTAGTCAATGAGTACAAACTTTCCATTGTAAGAGAATAAGATCTGGGGATTTCATGCAGAGCATGGTAACTATAATTAATTATACTGTATTGTTTACTTGAAATTTGATAATGTAACTGAAGCACTCACTCCACTTTGAAAGCAAATTGCCATATGCTTTCTTTTACCGTGCCTTACCGTGTGCTTGCTTAAGAATTCCAGGAACTAATTATGAGATAAAACCAAGACTGTGAAACATTCTCCCCAGAAAAAAAAATGCTGAACAGTTAATCTTCAATCTTGTTTCAGTTTAGATGACATCAGCTAGACATTTAGATGGCCCATTACTCAAGATAATAATCACAATCAGACGTGCTGAACCGCATAGCTAACTCCTACACATAGTTTACCAAGCCTCTTCCCCCGTAAATCCCCTTCTGCAAGTCTGAGAAAATTGAAATATCTTTGCAAAACAAGTCCACCATCTCCTTGGGCTGCCGGCTCCTGAATAAACCTACATTTCTTCCCATCCACCAATGCTTGTCTCTGAAATTTTGTTTTTGGGACATAAGCAGCTGAACCTGAGACTGGTTACAAGAAGAAAGCAGATTTTGAGTCCTCACCACACACACACACACACACACACACACACACACAGTTAACTATGGTCTGTGATGAATGTGCTAACTTGATTTTGGTAATTATCACAAAATGTGTGTATCTACATATACATTTACATATGTGTGTATATATAGAATAATTGAATATATCTATAGATATAGATATATTCAAGTCATCATGCTGTAACGCTTGAATATACACAATCTGTATTTGTCAATTATACTTCAATAAATCAGGGGGTGGAAACAGAAATAAGAAACTGAGTACATTCAAGAAAACAGAAACCACTATTAAAAATAGAGGTAATTTAATGAGGAACTTTGTAAAATAAGGGATGACAGAGTTACAAGACAAGTGAGTACAGTGAGTAAGCCAAGAGATTAGCTATGATAGAAAACCACTTGCATCCTAACTTTATGGCTGAGGGAATGGAGGCATCCAGAAGAAAGGTGAATTTCCTTGAGTTCTCATAGTTAGTACATGGTGGGAACATACTGCATACCAAGCAAATTGGCTTCAGAATTTGTGTTCTTACTCACCATAATAAAGATTCTCTCCAAAGAGAAACAGGCAGGGAGGAAAAATAACCAAAGTAATCTTTTACTAATAAAAAGTAATACATTAAGATTTAAAACTCATCAAACATAGATGGATAAATGGTAGAAAAAAAACGGTCTTGAATTGCTGACACCCTCCCTCTTCCATCTCTCAGCAGTGGCAGAAGAGTGTAGAGATTCTTTCCGTGCTTTGGGGAGAGGAAGAGTGCAGCAATTGTGAGACACTGATCTCAGTGGTGCCCTCAGTCAAACTGAGTCAAACTCAGCTGACGTCCACCCACGGAGGGAGTACTTAAACCTGCCCTAGTCAGAAAAGAATAGCTTATTCCAGCGATCAGAACTTGAGTTCCTGGAAGCCTTGTCACCGTGGGCTAAAGCGCTCTTGGGGCTTTGAATGCACTTGATAGGCAGCTGAGGCCACAAAGACTGCAACACTTAGGTGAATTCTAGTGCTGAACTAGTCCCAGGGCCAGTGGAATTGGGTGGCACATGATCTATTGGGACACCAGCAGAGAGATCAAGGGAATGCTGGCATCACGTCACCCTTAATCACGGGCCGTACATATCCTGGTTCCAAGAGACCCTTTCCCCTGCTTGAGGAGAGGAGAGGGAAGAGTGACAAGTAATTTGTTTTGCCTCTTGGATACTAGCTTAGGCCCAGCAGGCTAGGGCACAGAACAGAGTCACAAGACCCCGTTTTCAGGTTCTAGTTGCCAGATGACATTTCTAGACATACTGTGGGCCAGAAGGGAACCTGATGCCTTGAAGGGGAATAAACAGTCCTGGAAACATCACCTGCTATGTAAAGAGCCCTTGGGCCCTGAAAAACCAGCAGTGATACCCAGGTACTATGATGAGGGCCTTGGGTGAGACAATGAGACTTGCCGGCTTCAGGTGATACTAAACACATTTTCAGCTGTGGTAGTTACAAGGCGAGACTCCTTCTGCTTGAAAAGAGTGGAGGAAAAATTGCAGAGGACTTTGTCTTGCACCTTAGGTACCAGCTCAGCCTCAGGGGAATACAGCACCTAGCAGGCTCTTGATGTCTCCACTTCCAGGTCTTGGATCTTAGATAGCATTTCTGGACTTGCCCTGGTTTAGAATGGGGACCACTTCCTTGAAGGATAAATCCTAGGATGGGCAGGATTCAACACACGCTGAATGAAGAGCCCTTGAGCATTAAGGGAACATCAGAGGTAGTCTGGTGTGACTCTCCATGGCCTGTGACGGCTATGGCTACAGGTTGAGTCTTCTCTGCCTTTGAGGGAAGAGTGGGAAGGACTGTATCTCATTATTGGAGTGCCAGCTCAGGCACAGTATAATAGAACACCAGGTAAACTTCTAGGATTTTTGACTCTAGTCTCTGACTCCCACAAGGTACCTTAGGACCCACACAGGACCTGGAGGACCTCACCACCCTGAAGGGAAGAACACAGGCCTGGCGGACTTTGCCACCTGCTGATTTAGAGCCTCGGGGCCTTGACAGAATATAGGCAGTAGCCAGGGAGTGGTTACAGTAAGCCATGAGCATGACTCAGTGCTGTGCTGGCTTCATGTCTGACCTAGCACAGTCCTAGCAATGGTGGCCACAGGGGTGTTTTTCACTCCAGTCCCAGCTCCAGGTGGCTCAGAACAGAGAGAGAGAGAGAGAGAGAGACCCTTTTTTCTTTTTCTGTTTTTTTGTTTTTTTTTTTTTGAGACGGAGTCTGGCTCTATCACCAGGCTGGAGTGCAATGGCGCGATCTTGGCTCACTGCAAACTCTGCCTCCTGGGTTCAAAGGATTCTCCTGCCTCAGCCTCCCGAGTAGCTGGGATTACAGGCATGCACCATCATGCCCAGCTAATTTTTGTATTTTAGTGGAGACGGAGTTTCACCAGGTTGGCCAGGATGGTCTTGATCTCCTGACCTCGTGATCCGTCTGCCTCAGCCTCCCGAAGTGCTGGGATTACAGGTGTGAGCCACTGCGTCTGGCCAGGAAAATAGCCTCAAAAGGGCAAATCAAAGAGTTATTGGCCTTAAAGAGGAGGTAGAAAAATAGGTAATGGTAGAAACTTTATTCAAAGGCATAACAGAGAACTTTCCAAGCCTAGAGAAAGATATCAATATCCAAGCACAAGAAGGTTGTAGAACACCCAGCAGATTTAACCCAAACAAGACTATCTCAAGGCATTTAATAATCAAACTCTCAAAGATGAGGGATAAAGAAAGGATCCTAAAAAGAGCAAGAGAAAAGGAACCAATAACATAAAATGGAGCTACAATATATCTGACAACAGACTTTTTATTGGAAACCTTATAGGCCCAGATAGAGAGGCATGATATATTTAAAGTGATGAAAAAATCCTTTTACTCTAACATAGTATGTCCAGTGAAAATATCCTTCGAACATGAAGAAGAAATAAAGATTTTCCCAGACAAACAAAAGCTGAAAGTTTTCATCAACACTAGACCTGTCCTACAAGAAATGCTACAGGAAGTACTTCAACAGGAAAGAAAAGGATGTTAATGAGCCATACGACATCATCTCAAGATACAAAAAACACTGGTAGTTGTAAGCACACGGAAAAACACAGAATATTATGACCCTGTAACTGTGGTGTGTAAACTACTCTGAAGGAGAAAGATAAAACAATGAACCAATTAAAAATAATAACTACAACAACTTTTCAAGACATAAACAGTATAATAAGATATAAATAAAAACAAAAAAAAGTTAGAAAGCAGAGAGACAGATTTAAGGTGTAGAGTTTTTAGCACATTTCTTTTTTTTTTTTTTTTTTTTTTTTAAATGGAGTCTTGCTCTTTCGCCCAGGCTTGAGCGCAGTGGTGCAATCTCGGCTCACTGGTAGCTCCGCCTCCTGGGTTCAGGCCATTCTCCTGCCTCAGCCTCCCAAGTAGCTGGGACTACAGGCGCCCACCACCAAGCCTGGCTAATTTTTTGTATTTTTAGTAGAGACAGGGTTTCACCGTGTTAGCCAGGATGGTCTTGATCTTCTGACCTCATGATCCATCTGCCTCAACCTCCCAAAGTGCTGGGATTACAGGCGTGAGCCGCTGCGCCTGGCCAGCACATTTCTTTTTGGTTGTTTGATTACGCAGTGTTAACTTGTTATTAGCCTAATATAATGGGCTATAAGATAGTATTTGCAAGCCTCATGGTAACCTCAAACCAAAAACATATAAGAGATACACAAAAAATAAAAAGCAAGAAACCAAGTCCTATCACCAGAGAAAATCACCTTCCCTAAAAAAAAGACAGGAAGGAAAGAAAAAAAAAAAGAGAAGACCACAAAACAGCCAGAAAACATATCAGAAAATGGCGGGAATAAGTCCTTACTTATCAATAATAACATTGAATGTAAAAGACTGAATTCTCCAGTCAAAAGACATAGATTAGCTGAATGGATTAAAAAAAAAAAAAAAAGAAGACAAGACCCACTGATTTGTTGCCTACAACAAGCAGATCACCTAAAAAGGCATACATAGAAAATGAAGGGTTAGAAAAAGATATTCCATGCCAATGGAAACCAAAAAAGAGTAGGAGTAGCTGTACTTATGTCAGTCAAAATAGATTTCAAGACAAAAACCATAAGAAGAGAAACAGAAGGTCACTATATGAAAATATAGTTGTCCATTCAATACAAGGATATAACGATTTTAAATATATATGCCCCCAACACTGGACCACTCAGTTATATAAAGCAAATATTCTTAGAGCTAAAGAAAGAGATAGACACCAATATAATAATAGCTGGAGATTTCAACACCCCATACTCAGGATTGAAAAGATATTCCAGACAGAAAAGTCAACAAATAAATATGGAATTTAATCTGCACTATATTCCAAATATTTCTAATAAATATTTATAGGGGATTTCATCCAGCACCTGCAGAGTACACATTATTTTCCTCAGCACATGTATCATTCTCAAGGATAGATGATAAGGTAGGTCACAAACCAGTCTTAAAACATTGACAAAATTGAAATTATATCAAGCATATTCTCTGTGCACAATGGAATAAAACTGGAATTCAACAATGATAGGAATTTTGGAAACTATACAAAAATATATGGAAATTAAACAATATGCTCCTGAATTACCAGTGGGTCAATGAATAATTTAAGAAGGAAATTGAAAACTTTCTTGAAATATGATAATAGAAACACAATATACCAAAACATATGGGAGACATCAAAAGCAGTACTAAGAGGGAAGTTTACAGCTATAAATGCATACATCCAAAAAGAAGACATCCTTCAAATAAACAATCCTAAGGACTCATCTTAAAGACATAGAAAAGCAAAAGCAAATCCCAAATTAGTAAAAGCAAATAAATAATAAAGGTCAGAGAAAAAAATAGTGAATTATACTTGAAGAAAAGAATACAAAAGATCAATGAACAAAAAGCTGTGTTTTTGAAAAGTTAAACAAAATCAACAAACTTTTAGCCAGACTAAGAAATAAAAGAGAGAATACTAAAATAAATAAATTCAGAGATGGAAAAGGGGGCATTACATCTAATACGGCAGAAATTCAAAGGATTATTAGTGGCTACTATGAGCAACTATATGCCAATAAAATGGAAAATCTAGAAGAAAGAGACAAATCCCTAGACACATATAACATACCAAGATTGAACCATAAAGAAATTCAAAACCTCAACAGACCAATAACAAGTAACAAGATTGAAGCCTTAATGAGCAGTCTTCCAGTAAAGAAAACCCTGAAACCCAATGGCTTCACTGCTGAATTCTACTAAACATTT